>NC_000013.11:90798433-91101463 GCF_000001405.40 Homo sapiens
TCACTGGCTGTCCTTATAAATTAACAAGTAAACAATCTAAGGCCTAAAGCAGTTGAATGAAATGCTCACAGCCATACATTTAGTAAGGAACAAAATCAGCATAAGAGAACTTCTGCTTTTAACTTTAGTTCTGTGTGCTTTCCACCATACGGTGAAAATGAGCCTCAGACTTCTACATCTTATGCTGTTTTCTGTCCCGGAACTGTTTGAAAAACCGTATCACAAGTCTTGTTAAGCAGTAAGGAACAACCCAAGAAAAAAATTAGAACTTGATAGATTTTTTTTTTAATCTAAGGACCAAGAGTATAAAAGCCCAGATTTAATTAATGGATTTTTAAATATCTCTAAGTTTTAACTGTACTCAAATTACTCACCAAGACAAGAAACATTTTCTGGATCTAGTAAAGCAATTACAGAAACAAATACTCTCTCTTTAGTAAAAGGAAAAAGTCCCAGGAAGAAGTCCTATTTATATTTATTTCCCTTGAGGCTTTTTTTTTTCCTCTGGAAATGAGTTTTAAGGAGAAATGAAATTTTGGGACTGGATGACTCAATTATGTAAATGCACTAATTATATATGGAACAGATCCTATTTCATATGTTTTCTTTTTTCTTCTTCTCCTAACTAGAAGAAGTGTTTTTAGATACATGTGTTGTCCAGGGTTCCAAGGGGTTGAATGTTCTACATATGTG
The DNA here is from genome assembly GCF_000001405.40 of Homo sapiens. NCBI lineage: Eukaryota > Metazoa > Chordata > Mammalia > Primates > Hominidae > Homo > Homo sapiens. The sequence continues at coordinate 90,799,127 of NC_000013.11, forward strand.
CAACATTTAGAAATACAGTTCCATTAACTGTGTCCTCTATAGCTCTTCTATGTATGGTTATTTCGTAATAGGTAATATAATTTTAGTATCAGTGAGATGCATTACTGAAAGTTTCCACAGACCTTCCACCTAATTTGAAAACACTACACTATTATAGCCTCATAAGTAGATTATTAGGTTTAAGTTTATGCTAGAGGAAGTTTAAAAGCTGATATTCTTCCTCTATAGGATCATGACCATCACTGTTCCTTAAAAACCAAATGTGCTGGCTGGGTGCGGTGGCTCATGCCTGTAATCCCAGCACATTGAGAGACCAAGGCGGATAGATCACCTGAGGTTGGGAGTTCGAGACTAGCTTGACGAACATGGAGAAACCCTGTCTCTACTAAAAATAAATTAGCCGGGCGTGGTGGCGCATACCTGTAATCCCAGCTACTCAGGAGCCTGAGACAGGAGAATCGCTTGAACCTGGGAGGCAGAGTTTGCATTGAGCCGAGATCGCCCCATTGCACTCCAGCCTGGGCAACAAGAGTGAAACTCCGTCTCAAAAAAACAAAACAAAACAAAAACAAAAACAAAAAACCAAATGTGCTTCACTGTTGGTAAATTAACACCACTGTTTGAAGTATCATTTTTAAATCAGGATACACTTGTGTATATATAACTATATCATATCTAGATATTGATGTATATCATAAATCTATATCATATCTAGATATATATCATATCTCTACCTCACATATATGATATAGATGTACATCATATACATATGACAAGTCAGAACAGTAATGCCACTATATGGTTATTTTTGAAATACATAGTTTATATTTTAAAAGAATAGAAATATTCTTCTGAAAGAACATTTGAAAGAACCCCAGGACTCGTTTCAAACATTATTGTAAAGTAGATGAAATCGGTTTTCAAGGATCTCTGTCTCAGTTCCTCCCTGCTCTTTATTCAATGGGCCCATGCTCTTCCATTCACATTTTTCATTTCCTAAATTGAAATCTCCTCTAAGTTTCCTAATTGAATATGTTATAGCCAACTCATATTTCAAGAATATGCATCACAGGAAGTTTTTATTTTGAAGGAGGGATAAAAAGCTATAAAAAGCTTTAAATTAAAAGGATTAAGGTCCAATATTTGCCTGTCCTGCAGGCCAAAATGTCCACCCCTTCATGTTCTGTGAAAAGACTAGATAATGTTGGAAATTAAAAGTTTTCACTTCAAGCTTTGATATAGTGTCAAATGACTTGGTTGGTTGCGGTCAACTTGGCACCATTGATAGACTTTTCAAAATCTAACTGCTTTTCTTAGAATTCCTCCCTTGTACTACTAATGGTAATTTGCTGATAAAAGGGGCCCATGAGAGATTTGCAAGATGGAAGTGAAACAGATGCCAGGATGTTCAGTGTCAGGGCAGAGGGACGTGGCATGCTGCCAGGGACTTCTGGCCATGGGGTTTGCAGCCTTCCCCAAGCTGTATCGTTTCCTTCCTCCACTGCATGATGTCCTGCTATTGGACTAAGCATACTGTTACAGCATCTGATTCTGGCTGAAGTCTTCTGGTTCTTTAGAATTTCAGCTTCCTCCACACTGGTGGAAAGCCTAATTCTACACAAAACTCCTTATTTCCGTAATAGTTGTAGTGGTTTTGCTTTTCTAGTCAAATCCAGCCTGCAACAGCTTTCAGAGAAAAATTATAACATTCTTTGCATTAAAAGAATACTGGTTTCATATTTCTAGGCAATAATAATGACTGAGACACATTCTGTAGAAAATATAAGTAATTTTCAAAAATATGTTTAGCCTTCCACATGGTTTTGATTTGCAATAAGTAGCAAAACTAAAAACTCTTTTATTTAGATGTTTAATTTTCTTTCCCATAAACATATAAAGATGAAAGCGTATAAATATGTTAAAAGACAGAAAATACTATAAGTTTTCTTTTTTATGCAATGTATACAGATATTTTTAGATTTCAAAATTTTATTAGTTCTATAAAACCTTCACATAAAAATGTTTTATTTTCTTACATAATTTGTAGATATTTTTTAATATAATTACATGGAATTTACAGAATTTATTTATCCTTAGCTTCTAGATTTTTTTCTAATGTATTCCTATGTATATTATATATATATGTAAAAAATACTGAATATATCAATATCATCTATTTCTTATTAAGCCAAAGCCAACAAAAATGTTATTACCTCACTAAGTGCTTTCAAACAAGAATTCTAATTTTACATAACATGTCCTCTTTTCGTTTTGCTGGAAGGAAATGATACATAAAGAATTATTAAGTTGTTGATTAAGACTGTCATCACTGGTTAAGTTGAAGTGTGAGAGAAAATGAAGCAAACTTTATTTACTTCATAAAATACTAATTTAAAAGCTTTCTTACACAGATTTTCTTAAGTATTTTATGCTTACCAGCTTTTATCTTGTATCACGGTGTATATGAAAACAAGACAAATTAAGAACTGCATTTTGGAAACCTGTGCCCTTTCCAAAGAAACGGTGCCATTTGCAATGACCATTTCATAATACGTTTATCGGAAACCACCAGGTATCAAGGATTTTCCTATTGTGGCAAACTGTGGGTCAAACTGATGCTTCAAAAAGGGCAGTCAGTGTTGTATTAAAGCTGGCCTTCTTTTGTTGCAATAAAGAATCTTGAAGCATTGTTAAATAAATAAATCCCACGTGGTGCTATTGACCACGAAGCAAACTAAATAGAGTTCTCCTGATGGGAGAGCAGATTATCAAAGTTCAGTACATTAAATTCAGAGCATCCCCCTTGTGCTAAGGATCTAAGGGCACAAACACGAAACTACTCTTTGTGTTAAGTATCTAAGGCATCGTCACAAAACAATGGTTTACCCAATAGACATTTTGCTGAAAGCTGAATGTTTGCATGTCAAAATCAATATATTGTTTAATATACCCATTTTCTAAAACCTAAGATAAAGAATACATAACATTTTGTCAAAAATTTTAATTCTACTTTTAATATTTAAAATGTTAGTCAAATTATAAAAATCTTGACAATATGTCATGAAAAATTAAGTTATTTATGCTGCCAGGTACTGACTCTGCTATCTACTCTCTACTATGCCTTTTATACTTGTATATCCAAATAGAAGCTAATTTGCAATTTGCTCATGATTTAGTAACATTTATCTCTAATTTTTTATAGAAGAACATAATTCAAGTGAAAGTTTTTTCAGTAGCATGTTTTCTTGTTCATTGTTTGTTTTCTTTTTTGTTTCTGTTTTATAAAACCAGGTGCTTCTCTCAGTTATGCCTTTGTGAGCTCTCAAAAGCACTTCGTCTTCAACTACTAAAAACATTTGGTGTTTCAGCACTCCTTTTCAATAAACTTGATTTAGTCTTTATCTTCCATATACTTAAAACTGTAAGGAATTGTTTTAGAACAAGTTTACTCTTGTTTTTTTAAAAAAAATTTTACACTTAATGTCTCTTTGAGAAATCTGTTGTTATGAAGTTTGATTTGCAAAAACAAAATATGTTGTTGGCACCTCGTATACTTTAACACTTCTTTTTTTTATACTTTCTATGTTCTTCTTTAGACTGCATGGAAAATGATTTACTGTACATATTAGGTGATTTTTAAGATCTTTCTCTTCAAAAAACTTTGGATCCAGTTATTGTTTTAATTTTATTTCTTCCTCAAATAGGTGAAGAATTTTTAGTAGGACTTTCCTTGAAACACTCCTTGTCTACTTAAGATCATTATAATTTTAAAGTTATTTTTTAAATGTTAGGAATTAGAATATAATACATAAACACTATAATTATTCATATTTTGCTTAATTTTTATAAACAATTTTTCATATAAAAATATGTTCAGAATAAATTTAGCAGACATTATCTTTTAATTATTTATAATAACTGGCAATCTATTATTCTAATTATTAAAATGTTCTAAAGTTTTTAATAGATATTTTATTACAGATAATTATGAACAGAACCATAATTAAATATTATATTATTTTATTCAAAATAGTTGTTATTACTTTAGCAGACTAATAGAATTTCAAAACATAAAGCACATAAAGTGAATTTTTTACTGCAGGGTACATCTATAATTCTTACTTTAAAAAAGTGAATATTTTGTATTCAGGCCTTGTTTTTATTACTGACATTTTACTGATGAGATATGATGGTAGCCTGTGTGCTAACATGATCATTGATCACACACCAGCTCAGGAATGTCAGAGATGACAATGATGTTGACATTTCCCTATTTTGTCTTCAAAAGGCTAGGGCTGAAATAGAAGCTAAATGGCAGATTTCAGGTGATTACCATGGCCAGCGGCAAACATGGCACATTTTATTATCCATATACTCCTTCCACAAGTGATCCTAAGTCCTAGCTTTCTGTGTGTAACGTGTTAGTCTATATGCAGGAGTTACAGTGATAAACAAAACAGAGAAAAACACATCCTTCATTCTGCGTCTGGGGAAGAAGAGGCAAACAACAAGAAGTAAAGAATTAAATACCTCACATGGTCAGATAAGTGTGAAGAAAAGTCAAGTGAGCTGAGAGACTAGAATGAGAGGTGCTGTTTTAGAAATCATGGTCAGGAAGGTCTCTGAGGAAATTATCACAGAGAAGATGAGGACTTAGTCATATAGGTCTCTCCCGTATCACAGTTATAACTTTGCTAAAGAATGTCTGCCTCTGTTTTGAAGGAGACCCTGAGGGCCCCCAAAGAGATTTTATTTACCTACCCTCTAAATACAACGAAAATCTGTCTGGCTGTTTCACAAAATGTAGACAGATTCGGGTGTTCGTGGCTTAGGCACTACGTTTTATATATTGTGCTTTATATAATCCATTTAAATAAGCATCAGGCTATCGACTTTTTATGTTAGAATTTCTGTACTTAAGCAACTTTGTTAATCTAAGGAAGCAAATTATAAGCTGTCTATTTAAACAAGAATTATTATGATGTGACCATTTTAGCTTTTAAGGAAACCAAATTACTATGAAGCGATGGGTAATGAATGCTGCATTTCCTCTCAGCCCTTAATGAGCCTATGCAATGTTAGGTAAAAACTGGAATAGCAATGCATTTCATTCGCTATGAGAGAAAGAGGACTTCCACATTTTCAAAACCATGAGAAAGGCTTTTCTTGCTTATTTCCCGCAACCATTTCATCATAAAATTTTCTCCTAACTTGATCATCTCTCACTACCTCCATATCCAATCCATCAATAAATCCAGTCATCTTATTCCTAAACACATTCCAAATCATTCCAGTTATCCATTACAGAAATTACTTGCATTTCAGCCACCATCATTTTCTTCCTGAACTACTACATTGTATTGAGTAGAGGGAGGCTGACTTACCATTCTGGGACTTGGACTAAAATCTGAGGTTGCAAACGGGAACAGCCTGGAACAAATAATTACATGGAAGGCCAGTGTGCACCATGCTATCATTGTTTCTCTCTTATTCCCATGCATTTCCTTTATCTTATGGTCACATACATAGCCAAGGCCAGATTTAGTGTAGTCAGGTGAGTTGAGGGAAGAATCTGCCTAGGGCTTGGAGAAAACACCCACAGGGAAGAAAGACAATTGGTTTCAAAGGCTTGGTGAGTTCTGCAGCAGGAGCAGTAGCAGTTGCCAAACAGATGAATGAGTGCAATTACCAGGACAGTTATGTGGAGCACATAAGCATTGTTCAATAACATGCTGACTTTTTTTTTTGAAGGGAAACCTAATAGAACAAACTTCAGACTTCACATGGTTTAAAAAGTGGAAACTCTGAAAGTGTTTATAATTTAAATAAAATGTTTATTTCTGTAGTCAAAAGGCTAGTGAAATTTGGAGACAGATTTGTTAAGCAATATTCTAAATTTAATGTTACTGTAAAGAGCAATCTGGGAATATTTACTTCTTTCCAGCTATTGATAGAAATAGGCCACAAAGAGAAATATATTTAAATGGGAGACCAAAGGAATTAGAGTATTCTATCAGTGCCTCTTTCATCTTCACCCACGAGTCTATTTCCTCAACAATCATATCCCAGATGATATGTCACCAGGTTCATTTTCCAGTCCTCTTGATTAAGCCAAGATATAACTCAGTGAGGCACATGGATTGAATTCTTTTATATCATTTGAGAGGAATAGCTTCAATTGGTCTCTCAGAGACCTATCAGCTAAATGAAGTGTCTTAGTGTCCTTGCCATGGGGCAACTAAGGTTTGAACATAATTATGGAAGTTAGGCTTCAGATGTATACAAAATCCTAAAGAATTGGAATAATTTTGCTCTCAAGTATTTGAAAAATTTCATTTGATTGTATGTGATTTGTGGTTAAATTCTCTCCAGAATATTACTGCTCATTTTTAAAAAGTCTATTTTAGCGTTCAACAGGAGTGCTAAATTAGGGAGGAAAATAATAAACAATAGTTACCTCAGCTATAGATTTTAAACCAAGGATGATGAATCACACAGTTTTAAAGATTGTAAAGTTTAATTTCAGTTGGTGATGAAGTATTACTCTTCAGGCAATTATATTATGCCAGTGATACACCATTTTAAATCCCTAAAATAGAAATATCCTCTTTAGCTTGATAAAACAGAATACATCTATATTTCTATAAATATGTTTTTTAAGAAAGGATGTATGAAAGTAATAAGGATATTACCAGGCATATATTATAGACTTTTTAATAGGAAAGGCACGATAAATTACCCTGAGATTCTATGTGCTTATAATGGCATTATTTCTATCTTGTTGACAAGTCTGTGCTCACCTTTCATAAAAGCAGAGAATGACTGTATGTATTTATCACAACTCCATAAAGTATATAACAGTTTCTACTTTGTTTCAATTAAGGGGGAAAAAACAGACATATAAGTTTAGTAGGAAAAAAAAGCCCTCTATGTGTCCATGAATTCTAAGTTAGGGTGTCTGATTTTTATAGGAAAACAATAATAATAATAATAAAACAGCTTAACAGTAACAAAGATTCTCAGTCTTTTTTTTTAAGATTGTTGCTTAGTAAGAGAATTATAGCTGGAACAGCTGCAGGAAAATCTGGCACAAAGATAGGGCTCTGGTTAAGATATGCTCTATTGCTTTCTAAAACAGAAGGAATCACAGTGGCATAAATGTTCAAAAGATGAGAGGGTAAAGCACCTATATAATAGTCTATAACATAAAATGTCAATTCTTACTCAACCCTATTCAAACAACCATGCATGATTTCTCCTGAAATTACTACCAGGCTTGATGTTTTGTTCATTAGATTCCTATCACCACCTCTACATGGTGTTAAACCAGGGGTGAATAATAGTTGCCCTGCAGCATCATAAAGCGGAACCCCATGCTAACAATCTCTCTGTAACTACAGAGTGAGAACACTGATTAGCTGTGGAGTGTTACTATGAGGGAAACTTAACTGGCAAACAATTTCTCTTCCATTTTCCCAAGCAATTAGAAGAAATAAAAAGTGATGCAGTTTTCACAGGGATTTTGTTGTTTAAAACATACATGAAACTTAGTGTGGCCTTAAAGTTTATGGAAATATTTAAATGCTCTTCTGGGAAGCAAATAGAAGAAAGTCTTTAAAAGGGATGCCAAGATTTATTTTGATCTTTAGCTGAAAGCTATTTCCCCAAAGCAATACTTTTGGAATGGAAAAGAAAATAATAATGATACTCCTGAGTTTTAGTTTCTGCTCTGTTCAACTCTACCATAACAGTTATCTATTGCATGTAGAAAAAATTACCACCAAATTTAGAGGTTTAAAACAGCAAACTTTTATAACCTCATCGTGTTTGTGTGAGAGCTATATGGCCATGCTTAGCTGGCTCTGAGTTCCTCATGAGGTTTTAGTTCAGCTGTTAGGCAGGACTGCAGGCATCTCCAGGCTAGTGTGCAGCTGAATGATACTCTTCTTCCAAGCTCAGGCACATGAACAATGGTAGGCCCTGGTTTCTCACCACATAGAATTCTCTGTAGGCTGCCTGAGTGACCTCACAACGTGGCAGCTGGTGATGAGAGAGAGAGCTCCAGGAAACACCCTCCACAGCAGCCACAGTCTTTTTGGAACCTGTGCTTAGAAATGACATCCCATCACTTCTTCCATACTTCATTTTTCAGAAGTAAGTCTAGACCACATTCAACAGGAAATAATTACATAAAGGAAAGAATATCTGGAGGCCAAGATCATAGGAGGCCATCTTTGAGACTTCTTACAATGTCTGTGTTTCTTTGTTTACTTCTTTTGCCTTAAGAAGAATCAAGTGCGGCCAGGGGCAGTGGCCCAGGCCTGTAATCCCAGCACTTTGAGAGGCTGAGACAGGTGGATCACCTGAGGTCAGGAGTTCAAGACCAGTCTGACCAACATGCAGAAACCTCATCTCTACTAAAAATACAATATTAGCCAGGCGTGGTGGTGCATGCCTGTAATCCCAGCTACTCGGGAGGCTGAGGCAGGAAAATCACATGAAACTGGGAGGTGGAGGTTGCAGTGAACCGAGTTCACGCCATTGCAGCCCAGCCTGGGCAACAAGAGCAAAACTCCATCTCAAAAAATTTAAAAAAAAAAATTATTCTTCTATCTAATGACAGGTGAAGAAACATCTTTCTAAAACTAACACATCATGAATATAATATTCTTGTATTTAAGGGCACATGGAATAAAATGTTAAAGCAATCTTTAAAAACTCTCATTTTACTACTGTATAGAAAATATCCAAGTTATACTTCTTCCTTGCAGATATAAATAATAACTCTTTCAAGGAAATAATACATGTTCACATACAAGTAACTTATACAGGTTTTATCTGAAACTTAGAAGGTAACTGAACTTTGTTTATTTTAACTACGCTGTTGCTGGTTCTAGCCTAGATTCTGTGAAAACACCGTGGCAGTTGCGTACAACTATTGTCGGCGTTTAGCGTTGTTGTCACAGTTTAGCATGGGAAGGCCTCAGGACACTTACAATCATGACAGAAGGGGAAGCAAACATGCCTTCTTCACATGGTGGCAGGAAAGACAAGAATGAGAGAAGCGCAGAGCAAAGGGGGGAATAGTGGGGAAAACCCATTATGGAACCACCAGATCTCATGAGAACTCACTCACTATCAAGAGAACAGCATGGAGGAACCACCTCCAGGATTCGATTACCTCCCACCAGTTCCCTCTCATGATATGTGGGGATTATGGGAATTACAAATTCAAGATGAGATTTGGGTGGGGACACAGCCAAACCATAACAATCATGTATATTATTAAAATAACTATAAATTACTGTTAAAATCAGATTTTTATTAAAGACATATCATATTTTACCTGATTTTCTTGCTCCAGTTTTAAAATATTATGGTAATATTTATCATTTAACCTAATAAACTGCTTGTCTACAACAACAATGAAATAACTAGCATTCAATAATTATGTTACTTGCAATAGGAGAATGTCATTAAAGACGAACCCACATTCAATGTCTGACTTACCAAAGGAAATATATAATCAGAAAAACAGCTGCCCATTCTTGAGTAACCAACATAACATTTAAAATTGATCACTGATTGTTCGTTATATTTTTACCAAATATCATACTGTTACTATATGGTAAAGAATAAGAAATTAAATAGGATTTAAGGTTAAATTATCGATGCTGAATAATGCCTATTAAAAAATATTAGAATGAGACATAATTTTTCATCAGCTCTTTATTAGCACACTTACTCCATTAAATATTATTACTTCTAATTATTTTATTTCAAATTAAATCTCCCTCTCATCATCAAAAAAAAATCAGCTGAAAGTCCCATATGTGTTATTTTTCAGCATCACCATTAAATAAATCAGCAAATACATTTAAGTGATACTGCTATATTTAAAATCAACTGTCAGGATTATTAAACTAACTTGTATTACATGATTTAACAGAAATGTGTTCTAATAAATTGTAATGCAATAATAGAAATCATCTATAAAATATTAAAGTACATCTTCTATATTACAAATCAATAATAAAATATCTCAAAAAATTAGTAGATACCCTTAACATCAGATTGGAGATGACAGGAGATGGCAGAGAAAAAAATTAGTTAACTACAGATAGATCAAAAAAGTATTAAATCTGAAGCTCAAGCTAAAAGTAGATCAAAAGAAATTGATAAATCTAAAGAACATGAGAAAAATTGTAAAAAGCCATGAAATATGAACAATATTAATCATTGTACATATGTGTGCTTTGAATTTTAAAAGTAGAGGAGACAGCCAGGCACAGTGGCTCACGCCTGTAATCTCAGCACTTTGGGAGGCCGAAACAGGAGGATCACCTGAGGTCAGGAGTTGAAGACCAGCCTGGCCAATATGGCAAAACCCCCTTTCTCTACTAAAAATACAAAGATTTGCTGGGCATGGTGGCGGGCGCCTGTAATCCCAGCTACTCAGGAGGCTGAGGTGGGAGAATCACTTGAACCCGGGAGGTGGAGGCTGCAGTGAGCCAAGATCGTGCCACTGCACTCCAGCCTGGATGACAGAGCAAAACTCCGTCTCAAAAAAAAAGTCTTGATTTCCAAACTTGCCACCTATCATCTGTCCCAAGTGTCAGGACTCCTTGCATTTATTTACCAGTTCAAATTACCCAGAACTAGTTTCTGCTTTTCTGGAACAAAAGATAGAAAACTTGAACAGGTAGATGTAGAATATGTTAATGATACATTTGTGTATCTTTATGCATTGTTCTCCATGTTCACCAGGGTCTCCTCTACAGGGAGGTAGACTGCCTCTCCATTCAGACAAGAGTTATGTTTATGTATTTTCCAAAGCAAATAGGTCCAACTGCAATTGCCAATACAGATTATTTGCATTATAAGCTATCAGCTGAGGAGAAAACCATAATCCTGTACTACTCAGCTCAAACTTGCTAGTGTTTATTTCAGAGATGTGAGGTTTGCTAAGCATCAAAAGATATGCAGACTCTTCATTCTTTTTTAAAATTTATTTTATTGAATATGGACAAATTATAATTGCATATACTTACGGGGCACAAAGTGATGCCATGATATCTATACACACAGTGTGGAATGATTGAATCAAGCCAGTTAATGTAGTCATTGTCTCAAATATTTATCATTTATTCCTCCTGTTTAACTGGAATGTTGTACACTCGGCACTGTACTCCCCACTCCTCCCACTCCCCAGCCTTTTGTAGTCATCATTCTACTTCATCTTCTATAAGTTTGATTGTTTTAGATTCCACAAACAAGTGAGAACATGCACTATTTGTTTCCTGTGCCTGGCTTATTTCATTTAGCATAATTGGACTCTTTTAGGTATTCTTAAATCCTTTGATCAACAGTTTAGGATCATATAATAGCCTATCTCCATCCACCACCACTACCACCATCCCAATATACACAAACAATATGACTAAAATATATTGAAAGGGGAGGATAGCACATAGATTGACACTGGGTAGGAAGGTAGAGGCCACTATTATAGTTTAGATTTTATTCTAAGACAGAAATCATTGAGTGGTTTTAAGCCAAGAAGTAAAGTATTTTGTATTATATGTCAAAGAAATAACTTTGGCTTCTGAAGAAAGAATAAGTTTTTCAGGGGACTAATAGTAAAATGGAAAGATTATTTATAAAGATTTTGCAATAGTCCATCAAAAATGATTTTAGCTTGGATAGAGGCAGGGAATGAGAAGTGACAAACAGTAAAGACAGAAGAATCAGAATGAAGTCAATATATATCTTGCTTTTGTTTTGTTTTGTTTTGTTTTGTTGTTTTGAGATAGGGTCTCACTCTGTTGCCCAGGCTGGAGTGCAGTGGTGTGAACATGGCTCACTGCAGCCTCAGACTCTTGCGCTTGAGCAAGCCACCCGCCTCAGCTTTCTGAGTAGCTAGCACTGCATATGCCTGCCATCATGCCCAGCTAATTTTTAAAAATATTTTGTAAAAAAAGGGTCTCACTACATCGCCCAGGCTGGAAGGTATTTTATATCTACAAACAATAGGACTCTGCAGTAGATTAGTTGTGGGTAGTAAAAGAAAGTGAGGGGCCTGGCATCAGGGCTCATACCTGTAATCCCAGCACTTTGGGAGGCCAAGGTGGGCAGATCACCTGATATCAGGAGTTCAAGACCAGCCTGGACAACATGATGAAACCCCGTCTTTACTAAAAATACAAAATATTAAGTGGGTGTGGTGGTGCATGCTTGTAATCGCAGCTACTAGGGAGGCTGAGGCAGAAGAATCACTTGAACCCAGGAGGCAGAAGTTGCAGTGAGCCAAGATTGTGCCACTGCACTCCAGCCTGGGAGACAGAGTGAGGCTCTGTCTCAAAAAAAAAAAAAAAAAAAAAAAAACCACAAAGAAAGTGAAGAATAAAAAGTAATTTTTCAAACATGTATGAATAAACTGCATTTCTCCACTCTGTCTTTTCAATTCAGTTCCATTAAACTCATTAATACATTTAATAAATAATTCAAGCTAGCATTGATGCAATGCATAATAAATTACATCGCATTCCTGAATGCATTATCATCTTGCTCCTCAGTAATGGTTCTTTAAGATAAGTTTTAATATCATCACACTGCAGATATGAAGCAAAGGCTCAGAAAGTTCAGTGAGTGCCCACAAGCACACAATTATTAAATTACTTATTATGACAGACACCCAAGTTTACAGCTTCTCAATACTACAGATCTTCCACTGATCACACTGCCTCCCAAGTCAAACTTGGAAATGCTTGATTTTGAAACATAAGGAACAGTAAGAACTATATATATCATGGTGCATTAGGTTAGCTCTTCATATGTAACCTTGTCATGAGCATCATAATTATCCATATCTTAAAAAATAGCTTAGATTTCTATTTTAAAAAAGAAATTCATGTTTCCAGAGAGTATTGCCATCATCTACATTTTCCTAAGCAGATGCAAATTTGGAGCACCAATAGGAAAATGAGTTCGAGCACCATTTGCTTGAAATAAGTTTTATTTTTAACCTAAAATGTAATGAATGACTCCAAAAATGTAAATGCAAAAATATGTACTTGTGTAGTGTTGGGATGTATTTGTAGAGTCTATTGTGGAATCATGGAATTCTATGTAGAATGGACCTTAAGTCACATTTCATATTATAAACATGCTTAGTATAAATGAACAAGTGTTGATAAATACACAGTAGATAAAGGGATGATTAGAATAAGAAAAAAAGGGAGAGAATGACCAAGAGCAAGAGAAAGAAAAATGGATAGACACATGAGTCCCTTTGTTTTGTTACACTGTGCACTGTCAGATAAAATGTTTTATAGGTTTTGGCTAATTCATTGAAAAATGCTCCGCATTTGGTGATGAAAGAATAAAATTAGAAATATAATTTAATTTCAGAGATCTCAGAATTTTCAGCCAGAATCACCAACTAGTTTAGGATGGTCTTTCACCTCTGCTGCTTTGCATTTCATGCAAAGAAATGTATAAGAAACATAACCTCACCATTTTATTTCTTTGGGATTGAGACATACTGCATATACACACCTTCTAATTATTTTATGTCAGTTTTAAAGAAGGACCTGAGCTGAATGGAGTAATGAAAGGAATATGGTTCCATGTTTGTGACAAGATCAAATGCCTCTTAATCAAAATAGATAAGAAGTAAATACAAGACATGTCTTGAAGAGACTTGATCAATATCTTGACAAAAATCACACAGGAGAATAGTGTTTTGCTGTAGCAATTTTAATTATGTTTATTATTCCAGGGCAAGATGGCCAAATAAGAACAGCTCAAGTCTGCAGCTCCCAGTGAGACCTACGCAGAATACAGGTAATTTCTGCATTTCCAACTGAGGTACCCGGCTCACCTCATTGGGACTGGTTATACAGTGGCTGCAGCCCATGCAGGATGAGCAAAAGCAGGGTGGGGTGTCGCCTCACCTGGAAATGCAAGGGGAGAAGGAATTCCCTCTCCTAGCCAAGGGAAGCTGTGAGGGACTGTGCCTTGAGGGAGGTTGCTATCCAGCCCAGATATTATGCTTTTCCAATGATCTTCGCATCCCACATACCAGGAGATTGCCTTTACACCACCAGGGCCCTGGGTTTCAAGCACATAACTGGACAGCTGTTTGGGCAGACACCAAGCTAGCTGCAGGAGATTTTTTTTGGTACCCCAGTGGCACTGGAACACCAGCAAGACAGAACCGTTTACTCCCCTGGAAAAGGGGCTGAAGCCAGGGAGCCAAGTGATCTTGTTCAGTGGATCTTAACCCCACAGAGCCCAGCAAACTAAGATCCACTGGCTTGAAATTCTCACTGCCAGCACAGCAGTCTGAAGTTGACCTGGGACACTGGAGCTTGGTATGGGGAGGGACATCTGCCATAACTGAGGCTTGAGTAGGTGGTTTTCCCCTCACAGTATAAACAAAGCAGCCAGGAAGTTTGGACTGGGCAGAGCCCACCACAGCACTGGCAAAGCCACTGTAGCCAGATTACCTCTCTAGATTCCTCCTCTCTGGGCAGGACATCTCTGAAAGAAAGGCAGCAGCCCCAGGATTCAGGGGCTTATAGATAAAACTCCCATCTCCCTGGGACAGAGCAACTAGGGGAAGGGGCAGCTGTGGGGGCAGCTTCAGCAGACTTAAACGTTCCTGCCTGCTGGCTCTGAAGAGAGCAGCGGATCCCTCAGCACAGTGCTTGAGCTCTGCAAAGGGATACACGGCTTCCTCTAGTGGGTCCCTGACCTGCATGCCTCCTGATGGGGAGAAACCTCCCAGCAGGGGTCAACAGACACCTAATACAGGGGAGCTCCAGCTGGCATCTGGAGAGTGCCCCCTTGGGATGAAGCCTTCAGAGGAAGGAGCAGGCAGCCATCTTTGCTGTTCTGAAGCCTCTGCTGGTGATACCCAGGAAAACAGGGTCTGGAGAGGACCCCCAAAAAACTCCAGCAGACCTGCAGAAGAGGGGCCTGACTCTTAGAAGGAAAACTAAAGAACAGAAAGCAATAGCATCAACATCAACAAAAAGGATGACCACGCAAAAACTCCATCCGAAGGTCACCAATAGCAAAGACCAAAGGTAGATAAATCCACGAAGAAGAGGAAAAACCAACACAAAAAGGCTGAAAATTCCAAAAACCAGAATACCTCTTCTCTTCCAAAGGATCACAGCTCCTCACCAGCAAAGGAACAAAAACGAAAGGAAAATGAGTTTGACAAATTGACACAAGTAGGCTTCACAAGGTGGGTAATAACAAACTCCTCCAAGCTAAAGGAGCATGTTCTAACCCAATACAAGGAAGCTAAGAACCTTGAAAAAAGGGTAGAGGAATTGCTAACCAAAATAACCTGTTTAGAGAAGAACATAAATGACCTGATGGAGCTGCAAAACACAGCACAAGAACTTCGTGAAGCATACACAAGTATCAATAGCTGAATCAATCAAGCAGAAGAAAAGATATCATAGATTGAAGATCAACTTAATGAAATAAACCCTGAAGATAAGATTGGAGAAAAAAGAATGAAAAGAAATGAACAAAGCCTCCAAGAAATATGGAACTATGTGAAAAGACCAAACCTACATTTGATTGGTGTACCTGAAAGTGATGAGGAGAATAGAATCAAGTTGGAAAATACACTTCAGGATATTATCCAGGAGAACTTCCCTAACCTAGCAAGACAAGCCAACATTCAAATTCCAGAAATAAAGAGAACACCACAAAGATACTCCTGGAGAAAAGTAACCCCAAGACACATAATTGTCGATTCACCAAGGTTGAAATGAAGGAAAAAATGTTACGGGCAGCCAGAGAGAAAGGTCGGGTTACCCACAAAGGGAAGCCTATCAGACTAACAGTGGATCTCTCTACTGAAACCCTAAAAGCCAGAACAGAGTGTAGCCCAATACTCAACATTCTTAAAGACAATAATTTTCAATCCAGAATTCCATATCAGGCCACACTAACCTTCATAAGTGAAGAAGAAATAAAACCTTTACAGACAAGCAAATGCTGAGGCATTTTGTTACCACCAGGCCTACCTTACAAGAGCTCCTGAAGGAAGCACTAAATTGGGAAAGAAAAACCTGGTACAAGCCACCATAAAAACAAACCAAAATGTAAAGATCATAGACACTATGAAAAAGCTGCACCAAGTAATGGGCAAAATAACCAGCTAGCATCATAATGACAGGATCAAATTTCTACATCACAATATCAACCTTAAATGTAAATGGGCTAAATGCCCCAGTTAAAAGACAAAGACTGACAAATTGGATAAAGAATCAAAACCCGTCAGTGTGCTGTATTCAGGAGACCCATCTCACTTGCAAAGACTTATATAGGCTCAAAACAAAGGGATAGAGGAAAATTTACCAAGCAAATGGAAAGCAAAATAAAGCAGGGGTTGCAATCCTAGTCTCTGATAAAACAGACTAAACCAACAAAGATCAAAATAGACATGAAGGGCATTGCATAATGGTAAAGGGATCAATGCAACAAGAAGAGCTAACTCTCCAAAATATATATGTCCCCCCAAAACGGGAGCACCCAGATACATAAAGCAAGTTCTTAGAGACCAAAAAGAGACTGAGGCTCCCACACAATAATAGTGGGAGACTTTAACAAACCACTGTCTATATTAGACAGATCAATGAAGCAGAAAATTAACAAGGATATTCAGGACTTCAACTCAGCTCTGTACCAAGCAGACCTAATAGACATTTACAGAACTCTCCACCCAAAATCAACAGAATATACATTCTTCAAAGCACCACATCTCGCTTATTCTAAAATTGACCATGTAATTGGAAGTAAAACACTCCTTAGCAAATGCAAAAGAACGGAAATCATAACAAGCAGTCTCTCAGACCACAGTGCAATCAAATTAGAACTCAGGATTAAGGAACTCACTCAAAACCACACAACTACATGGAAACTGAACAACCTGCTCCTTAATGACTACTTGGTAAATAATAAAATTAAGGCAGAAATAAATGAGTTCTTTGAAACCAATGAGGACAAAGACGCAATGTAACAGAATCTCTGTGACACAGCTAAAGCAGTCTTAAGAGGGAAATTTATAGCACTAAATGCCCACATCAGAAAGCTAGAAAGATCTCAAATCAATACCCTAACATCACAATTAAAAGAACTAGAGAAGCAAGAGCAAACAAATTCAAAAGCTAGCAGAAGACAAGAAGTAACTAAGATCGAAGCAGAATGGAAGGAGACAGAGACACAAAAAGCCCTTCAAAAAATCAATGAATCGAGGAGGTGGTTTTTTGAAAAGACAAACAAAATAGATAGACCGCTAGCCAGACTGATTAAGAAGAAAAGAGAGAAGAATCAAATAGACACAATAAAAAATGATAAAGGGGAGATCACCACTGATCCCACACAAATACAAACTACCATCATAGAATACTATAAGCACTTCTACCAAATAAACTAGAAAATCTTGAAGAAATGCATAAATTCCTAGACACATACACCCTCCCGAGACTAAACCAGGAAGAAGTTGAATCCGTGATTAGACCAATAACAAGTTCTGAAATCGAGGGAGTAATTAACAGCCTATCAACCAAAAAAAGCCCAGGACCAGATGGATTCACAGCTGAATTCTACCAGAGGTACAAAGAAAACCTGGTACAATATTTTCTGAAACTGTTCAAAAAAAATAGAAAAAGAGGGACTCCTCCCTAACTCATTTTATGAGGCCAGCATCATCCTGATACCAACACCTGGCAGAGACACAACAACAACAAAAAAACTTCAGGCCAATATCCCTGATGAACATCGATGAGAAAATCCACAACAAAGTACTGGCAAACTGAATCCAGCAGCACATCAAAAAGCTTATCCATCATGATAAAGATCGGCTTCATCCTTGGGATGCAAGGCTGATTCAACAAATGCAAATCAATAAACATAATCCATCACATAAACGGAACCAATGACAAAAAGCACATGATTATCTCAATAGATGCAGAAAAGGCCTTTGATAAAATTCAACACCCCTTCATGCTAAAAACACTCAATAAACTAGGTATTGATGGAATGAATCTCAACATAATAAGAGCAATTTATGACAAACCCACAGACAATATCATACTGAATGGGCAAAAGCTGGAAGCATTCCCTTTGAAAACCAGCACAAGACAAGGATGACCTCTCTCACCACTCCTATTCAACATAGTATTGGAAGTTCTGGCCAGGGCTATCAGGCAAGAGAAGGGTATTCAAACAGGAAGAGAGGAGGTCAAATTATCTCTTGCATATGACATGATTGTGTATTTAGAAAACCCCATCGTCTCAGCCCAAAAACTCCTTAAGCTTAAGTCTCAGGATACAAAATCAATGTGCAAAATCACAAGCATTCCTATACACCAATAACAGTCAAACAGAGAGCCAAATCATGAGCCAACTCCCATTCACAATTACTACAAAGAGAATAAAATACCTAGGAATACAACTTACAAGGGATGTGAAGGACTTCTTTAAGGAGAACTACAAACCACTGCTCAAGGAAATAAGAGAGGACACAAACAAATGGAAAAACATTCCATGCTCATGAATACAAAGAATTAATAACGTGAAAATGGCCATACTTCCCAAAGTAATTTATAGATTCAATGTTATTCCCATCTAGCTACCATTGAATTCCTTCACTGAATTAGAAAAATCAACTTCAAATTTCATATGGAACCAAAAAAGAGCCCATATAGCCAAGACAATCCTAAGCAAAAAGAACAAAGCTGGTGGCATCATGCTACCTGACTTCAAACTACACTACAAGGCTACAGTACCCAAAACAGCTTGGTACTGGTACCAAAACAGATATATAGACCACTGGAACAGATCAGAGGCCACAGAAATAACACCACACATCTAAAACCATCTGTTCTTTGACAAACATGACAAAAACAAGCAATGGGGAAAGAATTCCCTATTTAATAAATGGTGTTGAGAGAACCAGCTAGGCATATACAGAAAACTGAAACTGGACCCCTTCCTTACACCTTATAAAAAAATTAACTCAAGATGGATCAAAGACTTAAATGTTAGACCTAAAACCATAAAAACCCTAGAAGAAAACCTGAAATACCATTCAGGACATAGACATGGGCAAAGTCTTCATGACTGAAACACCAAAAGTAATGGCAACAAAAGCCAAAATTGACAAATAAGATCTAATTAAACTAAAGAGCTTCTGCACAGCAAAAGAAACTATCATCAGAGAGAACAGGCAACATACAGAATGGGAGAAAATTTTTGCAATCTATCCATCTGACAAAGGGCTAATAACCAGAGTCTACGAGGACCTTAAACACATTTACGATAAAAAACCAAACAACCACATCAGAAAGTGGGCAAAGGATATGAACAGACACTTTTCAAAAGAAGACATTTATGCGGCCAACAAACACATGAAAAAAAGCTCATCATCACTGGTCATTAGATAAATGCAAATCAAAACCACAATGAGATAGCATCTCACACCAGTTCGAGTGGCAATCACTAAAAAGTCAGGAAAAAACAGATGCTGCAGGGCATTTGGAGAAATAGGAACACTTTTACACTGCTGGTGGAAGTGTAAATTAGTTCAACCATTGTGGAAGACAGTGTGGCGATTCCTCAAGGATCTAGAACTAGAAATACCATTTGACCCAGCAATCTCATTACT
Organism: Homo sapiens; assembly: GCF_000001405.40. NCBI lineage: Eukaryota > Metazoa > Chordata > Mammalia > Primates > Hominidae > Homo > Homo sapiens. The sequence continues at coordinate 90,818,823 of NC_000013.11, forward strand.
GGGTATATACCCGAAGGATTATAAATCATTCTACTATAAAGACACATGCACACATATGTTGGTAATTGCAGCACTATTCACAATAACAAAGACTTGGAACCAACCCAAATGCTTATCAATGTTAGACTGGATAAAGAAAATTTGGCACATGTACAACATGGAATACTATGCAGCCATAAAAAAAGAATGAGTTCATGTCCTTTGCAGGGACATGGATGAAGCTGGAAACCATCATTCTCAGCAAACTAACACAAGAACAGAAAACCAAATACCACATGTTCTTACTCTTAAGTGAGAGTTGAACAATGAAAACACATGGACACAGGGAGAGGAACATCACACACCAGGGCCTATCACAGGATGGGGGAAATGGGGAGAGATAACATTAGGAGAAATACCTAATGTAGATGACTCGGGTTTATGGGTGCAGCAAACCACCTTGGCACATGTATACCTATGTAACAAACCTGCACATTCTGCACATGTATCCCAGAACTCAAAGTATTAAATAAAAAGATATGCTAATAAAGCAACTATTTAAAATTTAAAAAAAATGTTTATTGATGAATGTGCTCCTGTTTGTTTTTTGTTTTTTTTCTAAATTATAATCTGTGAACTGGTTAGTGAATCAGGGCATTACATTTGTAGTCAGGATCATTCACCTGCCTCACTTGACCACTGGAGTGGTGCGCAGACCACCCTTTCTCAGCACTGTCATCCAAATTGATGGACTGTTCTTTTAGTACTTCAGTTGTCTTAGGCAAGAAAACTAACCATTATGCGCAACGACTCTCTGTACAGTATTTTAATGGCAAAATTTATGTCTGCTTTTCTCACTTTATAAAATTGAGTCTCTAGTCATTTTAATATTTGGTAGATTTCTTCTGCTCTGAATAAACTTGTTTTAAAGTGAATTTTGGAAGGCAATGGTAAATAAGAAATGCAGACCCTCTGTGTTTGAATGCCTTAAATATCTGTTTGGTGATTTGTTTCCTGCTTTTACATATGTATTCGCTTATTTTTATTACCCTGGTAAGGACTGAATTCTTATAAGAGCTAAATGTAGGATAAAAGATTGTTTCATTCTTTTCCTAATATTAACCAAACTAAAATTCTCCATGTTCTCATAAGCTATGAATCAAAACCCAAAACAAGCTCCCTGTCAGAAACCAAACAGTGTATTTTTATATATGGTTGCCAAATAGTTGCTAAATCCATGAGTTTCTAAACCACTCACCCTGGTTCGCTATCGTTTTAAAGGGAAAAACAAGTACATGTGTTGTTTCCTTGAATATATTTGAAAATACATTAATGCTTGAGGGAGAGTATTTTTTATATGTTGACATTTATTTCTTCTTTTGCAATTGTGTATTTATAACTTGTCTTCTCTTATTTTTATTGTCTCACTAATCTTTCCCCTTAGCAGATCCTTTATACTTTGTTAGAAATACTTGGCTTTTTCAGGAAGGTACCTTTATATCCCTGTGGAAATAAATTGGCCTCAGTTGTCCTCTTAGCACATCAGCTTTTGGGGAATAAATTGGAGGCTTTAGAAGTGTTTCTCAACATGAATCTGATGCTTCAAAGAAATCTCTAGAAAACATACTATTTAGAAGCAATAATGCTTAAATATTTGTAGTTAAGGAAATCTTTCCAGACATTTTATTTCACTTCACATGAAAACTGGATTTTTATATCCCTGCAGTTAATCTGATTTTTTACCATATTCTAAATTAAATCTTTTTATGATATTATGCATGTAATTATACTTCTATATTCCTGAATATTTGAAAATAGTTGTAGTTTCCTCTGAGATAAGCATGGCATTGATTTACCTGAGAAATATATTACATATTACCCATTTTTGCCAAAATTTAAATGCTTTACAGTTGTGGAGAATGCTTTATGAATACACAAAGGTCATATTAGGTAATAACATTTGTTGACATTTTAGTTTTGCTCAGTATTATGTTATAATTATAGTCTTTCTAGATTTGTGGATGTTTAGCTAACCTGTCTTCTTTAGAGTAACTTTTCTGCAAGCTTTTGTAAATCTCTTTGTAGGTAGTAACCTCACTTCTAGATTTTCTTCTTACCAGGAAATATTTCATCTCCCATAAATCATATCTAGAAAAATGGAAAATAAATAGTCATATTGGTTGGTGATTGTGAGTTTTCTACTAAATTTTATTAAATATCTAATCAATCATCTTTTTTAATGTAATCATTCTAACATGTTACATACACCATGAGAATGAGAATGTGTTTAATTCTTTTTGTCTAGGAGAGTCCCTTTTCATGTCCTCCTGGGATGCATGGAATTAAACATTTTTAGACAAATTTCTCTCATTATGCTAGTGTTTAATATTCTTATCCTTGGTTTTATGTGGGTTACAGTTCCTCTTCACCTAGAGAATAAATAATACTAAATTCTCAGTCACTGAAAACAACCTGCAACCTGTATCCAAACCATCTTTTCATCCTGATTTTGTTTTTCAGTTTCTCTTTGTATATTTCATCATTCCTTACACAGAGTTAGCAAAATAAATTAGTTTAATAAATGAATTAATGAATCCTTTGAGGAATGAATAAATAACACTCACACTTTGTCAGGTCAATATCAACATTCTAGAAAAATGAGTTCATCTGACATTTTCTAAAGAAGTCTTCCTTTTCCACTTCCCTGCATCCCACAGTCCATACCTCTACATGATAGAATTCCAGTTATTTTCCAGGTACAGCTCAAATGCCTTTCCTGATGTATCTTAAAAGCAATATCCCCATTTCCTGAATTCCACAGATCTGCATTTCCCTAAGAGGTGGCATTATAACTATAGCAAAGCTAGTTAGTGATTATCTAGCGCTTACTAGTTTCCATACATAGTTGTTTATTCATTGTTTTCAATCTCATGTAACCCTTACAAATTAAAAAAGAGAGAGAAAGATATAAAACTGAGGAAAGTGGGGCAGAGAGAGTATTCATGGGGAGTTGAATTTGGATTGGAACCCAAAAAGCTTGATCCACATCCTATGCTATCACATTATGCTGAACATAAAGATATAGTATTATGATTAATTCTCTCTATATAAAATTTATTTCTATGTTTTATATATATACATATATGTGTGTATGTGTGTGTGTATATATATATAGATATAGTGAGTATATATATATATAGATATAGTGAGTATATATATATATACTCACAAAGGATCTTTAAATAGAATTGAACCACATGTATGATTTGAACTTAACCTGTGTGCTTCCTATGTATGGCCCGTCAATACTGTTCCAAACTAAGTAACTATCTCTTGGTTTTTCCAACATTTATCATGTTATTCCAGCCCAAAATACATCTAATTGTATGATGCCATTCGACCAATCTTGCTTCCTGTTTCTGAATAATTATCGTTTTCTTCCTGACCTTTAATCTTTCTGAAATGTATAACTCTTCTGTCTGCAACTAACTTTAGATAAGTACATTCATAAGAAGCTAATTTGTAGGATGAATGTGTTATAAACAAGTTGAAATAACAAATAGAAAGTTTAATTATATTACAACAGTATTTTTAAAATTATATTGCACATTTTATCTCACTATTTTCAAAACTCTATTTCAAGAAGCTAATACATATAGATAAACAGACAAATAGGCCTCTTACACTTGGAGAATTCCTGGTTTCCTCATCTAGGTTTCTATAGGTCATATTTCAATCACCCAACTTACCAAATTTTATTATACTATTTTTCATTTCATGTGTATGTCTTTCTCCAGCCTGTGGGTTTCTTGAGGACAGCAGCTCTTTTAAATACAGATACTGACCTAGCATGGCATTTTCTTTTTTTAATTTTCTTTTTTTATTTTATTGGGTATATAACAGATGTATATATTTATGGAGCACATGAGAATTTTTATACAGGCATACAAAGTATAATAATCTTATCAGGGTAAATGGGGTTTCTATCACCTCTCTTACCATTTCTTTGTATTACAAAATTCCAATTATACTCTTGGTTATTTTAAAATATACAATAAATTACTGTTGACTGTAGTCACCCTGTTGTGCTATCGGATACTAGATCTTACTTATTCTTACTATATTTTTGTACCCATTAACCATTCTCACTCCTTCCACCCACAGTACCTGCCCACATGCTTTCGCAGACTCTGGTAACCATCCTTCTACTCTCCATCTCCATAGCATGACGTTTGCCAATGATCTAACCTAATAAAGCCTTCTCCCCTATATCACTTTTTTCCTGCAAATTACTCTGCTGTATTCTCTTAATAGACCAAAATTACCTTTTAATTTTTTTTGTCTCTTAAGATTTTCTATATCCAATCTATCACCTCCTCCTTCTAACCTCCCATAAGAGAAGGAACTTGTCTTTCTCCACATTGAATTTCCTGGACAGAGAAGTGGACCTGGCCCTCAGCAGGTGCTCAATATATACTTGTTTAATGAATAACTACTGGATTCTCAATAATTCATTTTGGAATTTATGAGTGACGATTATAAAACTACAATATTTGGTTATAATATCAAGTAAACTTTAAAATTGCATTCATGAAAGAAAAGTCAAATTGGGATTTGTTTTTTGCATCTTACATTTATTTAACCAGATTTAGTTCTCTTCATATAGAAAGCTTCACAGAAATACTTGTTTAAATATTAAATGGATAAATAAGTTTTTAAAAATCGAATTGTCCTTGGTATTCACTAATATGGGTAAATTTACATTTTCATCAATAAGAATTTGATTTGAAATATTCTTAATATTAATAACTTGGTATCTTATCTCAATTGTTTTGTAATAAATGCTGTAGCTACTATATCACTTATTTCCTCATTTGAATGGCATTTTCTGTAATAGTGGGGTTTTGTTTGTTTTATTTTCATAATTTTAGATCACAGACCACTTTGAGAGTCTGATGAAAGGGATGACATTTCTCTTCAGAAAAAATAAATATGTAATCATATACAGAAAATTTTATGAACAATTTCAGGTAGTCTCTGAGCTGCAGTAATACCAGTGTTGCCAAACTGATAGCTTGTGTGGTTTTGATGGAAGATCAAGAAATAAAACATGCATATACCTGTAGCACAGCAAGAAATAGTTCTATTGTAATATGATGGACCCTAGGGCAAAAACACACTCTAGAAAAAAATAAAATAAAATTAGACCTAGTCTCTGGGCTTCTCTAATCACCTACATCTCCTTCTGAGACCACTAAGACTACCAAGACCTCCAAACTTTAGGTGTGCCGTGAGGAGGAACAGGGGAAGTATAGGAAGGGGTAGGATTTACCACCTGTATATTTTTTTTATTGCTTATTTCCTGGTTGGGTAGTCAAACTAAGTGAAAGTAACTGCAGCTGGATTCAAGAATTCCTTTTTGTCCTAAGCCTGAATCAACCCTGTGAGCCTGGTCTAACTCCTTTGGCATACTCCTAAGAATCTGTCTCATTGATTTTGTGATTTAATCTGAGAGTGACTGGAGACAGTGTTAGGGATAAAACCTTCTGGAACAGGAATTGCCTGTAAGAATTTTTGGCATTTGATGACCTGTAAGTGTTTAAGGAAATAAACATGAACGGTTAAAGTGTGGTTTGGGTTTTAGTTTCTTGTCACTCTTTATTACTCTGGAGGCTGAATGCTTCCATAGAAATGGTCTATAAAAGTGAATTTCATGTTTGAAGTAAATACATTTTAATTTAAAAGGACTCTTGTGAGCAACAGCACCAGGGATAATTCTCTTAGGTCATTCCCAGCCCTTGCTTGGACTCTGCCTGCAGTAGTACTGATGATAAGGAAGTGCAAACTAATAGGAGGACGTTCAAGAAGATGAGAGACATATAGGAAACCAATATTCCAGCCTAGTAAGGACAAGAGCCTCTGATGAATAATCTTATAGGGAAATACTGAACTTGTACCAATTCCTGGACATTATCAATGGGAATTAAACAATGGTAGATTGTCAAGAAAAATCTTGTATGCAATGAGTTTTAGGGGTACTCATGATCTATTCTTGGCATTGGGGATGCATGTTTCCATTGCTGCTGATTAAGAAACTCATTTCACCACTATGAATGTTGAGAATGTGACCTCATAACTGGAATTTCACTTCTTATCTTACCTTTAGGCAGAGGAAGTAATTGAGTGGTTGATGGACTTTTAAAAGAGCAATTACATAAAGGCATTCTGATATTTACCCCTTGATATTCTTCACATTCAAAACAGTAGCTCAATTAACAATTGGCAAAAACTGAAAGAGAAGGACTCTAATTTTGCTGGGACTTAATGACAGATACTAATATGAAGGAATGAAAATGAGGGGTTTTGAACAACATTCTTCTAACTGCCATTAATTCTAGCTTCTTATTCCAATGGTTGCTACTATGGACATCATAAGGTTGTACCACTCTGCCCCACCTAAGAGAATGGTAGATTCAAGAGCAACAGCAAACAGTCTCCTTAACTGCAAAGCCATCTATTTCTACGATGCCTCATGTAAAGCTTTTCCTTTCTGGCTTTAACAACAAGACATTGTACCAGCGAGAAATGCAGACAAATTAATGTAGACTAACAGGAGAAGGCAGTGGTATAAAAAGAACAGAAACTTTCTAAGTGGTACAATAGCTCAATTGGTCTTTTTCTGTAGTGTCTAGATAAAAATAAATCTTGTGAGGTCCCAGGTTGCTATTTCTGGCACGAGACCATATATCGTACCAGAAAGGTGGTCATAGGGGATTGCAAAAGTCAGGGGGAAGCATAGTTAACAAAAAGAGTGAGGACCACATCAGTTACATTCACAGACAAGCTTATCACAAGAGGTGTGCATTAGTTAGTTTTCACGCTGCTATAAAGATACTACCTGAGACTGGGTAATTTATAAAGGAAAGAAGTTTAATTGACCCACAGTCCCACATGGCTATGGAGGTCTCAGGAAGCTTAAAATCATGGCAGAAGGCGAGAGAGAAGCAAACACCTTCTTCGCAAGGTGGCTGGAGAAAGAGAGAGCACAGGGGAAACTGCCACTTTTAAAATCATCAGATCTCACGAGAACTCACTCACTATCACTAGAACAGCATGGGGGAAACCGCTTCCATGATCCAATCATCTCCCACCTGGTCCCTCTCTCAACACATAGAAATTGCAATTGAGATGAAATTTGGATGGGAACACAGAGCCAAACCATATCATTCCACCCACGGCCCCTCCCAAATCTCATGTCCTTTTCACATTTCAAAACCAATCATGCCTTCCCAACAGTCTCTCAAAATTTTAACTCATTTCAGCATTAACCCAAAAGTCCAAGTCTAAAGTCTCATCTGAGACAAGGTGAGTCCCTTCCACTTATGAGCCTGTAAATTCAAAAGCAGTTTAGTTACTTCCAAGATACAATGCAGGTACAGGAATTGGGTAAATGTCCCCATTCCAAATGGGAGAAATTGGCCAAAACAAAGGGGCTATTGACCCCATGGAAGTCCAGAACTTAGCCAGGCAGTCATTAAATCTTAAAGCTCCAAAATCTCCTTTGGCTCCATATCTAACATTCAGGGCACATTGATGCAAGGGGTGGGTTCCCACAGCCATAGGCAGCTCCATCCCTGTGGCTCTGCAGGGTATAGCTCCTAAGGCTGTTTTCATGGGCTGTGTTGAGTGCCTGCAGTTTTTTCTAGGCACATGGTGCATGCTGTCAGCGGATCTACCTTTCCGGTGTCTGGGGGATGGTGACCCACATGTCACAGCTCCACTAGTCAGTGCCCTAGTGGGGATTCTGTGTGGGGGCTCCAACCCCATATTTCATCTCTGCCCTACCCTAGCTGAGGTTCTCCATGAGGGCTCCACCCCGAAGCAGACTCTTGCCTGGAAATCCAGGCATTTTTATACATCCTCTAAAATCTAGGCAGAAGTTCCTAAAGGTCAACTCTTGTCTTCTGTACATCTGCAGGCCGAACAGTACATGGAATTTGCCAAGGCTTGGGGCTTGCACCCTCTGAAGCAATGGCCCAGTCTGTACCTTGGCCTGTTTTAGCCATGGCTGGAGCTGGAGAAACTGGGATGCAGGGCATCAAGTCCCGAGGCTGCACAGAGCAGCAGGGCCCTGGGCCTGACCCAGGAAACAATTTTTCCCCTCCTAGTCCTCTGGGCCTGTGCTAAAAAGATGCTACCTGAGACTGGGTAATTTATAAAGGAAAGGCATTTAATTGATCACAGTTCTGCATGGCTGAGGAGGCCTCAGGAAACTTACAATCATAATGGAAGGCAAAGGAAAAGCAAACACCTTTTTCACAAGGTGGCAGGAGAGAGAGTGCAGGGGAAAGTGACACTTTTAAAACCATCACATCTCATGAGAACTCCCTCACTATCACGAGAACAGCATGGGGGAATTTCCCCCGTGATCTAATCACCTTCCACCAGGTCCCTCCCTCGACATGGGAGGATTATAATTTGAGATGAGATTTGGGTGGGGACGCAGAGCCAAACTGTATCAATGTGTGTAGTCCTACTAATATCTATCATATATTACACATATTGTAAGATACTGTCAGGATATGGATTAAGAGTTACACAGGTTAGATCAGCCTGGTTTTCATCACCATCCCAAGATGCATGACAACTTTAAATGCATCTATGGTGTTGAACCCCAACAAGTGAATCTTGACAAAATTCTCAATAAATTGCTCGAAGAGATTAGGCCAAATAACCACAACCCCATACATTGAAGAATGTGGGAGGAATCCACTCATATTTCCTTTACTAGTTAAAAGTGGATTTCATTGTACCTAAGAGAAAAACAGAAATAACTACGAAATCATCTGGTAATTTAACAAGATAGAGGATTATTTCTCTAACATAAAATCCATAGCTTTTCTGGTCCAAGAATGATACAATGTCCACTCTACAAAATCATCAGGAAACCTATGTCTCCTTCTAGCTCTCTGCTTTGCTATCCAAAAGGCTATAGCCCTCATCTTCATGGTCCAAGACCATGACCAGTAACAGCAACGGCTGGAGAATTGTCTTAGTTTCCTTGGGCTACCATACAAAGTACCATAGACTGATGGGTTTAAATAACAGAAATTTATGTTTTCACTGTTATAGAGACCAAAATTCTCAGATCAGAGTGTCAGTATGGTCAGGTTCTGATGAGAGCTCTCTTCCTAACTTGTAGAAGGCTGCCTTCTAAATGCATGGTGAAGTCGGGGGATGAGAAGAGAGCAAGCTCTCTTGCATCTCCTCTTACAAGAGCCTAACAGCATCATGAGAGCCCTACACTTAGGAGCTCCTCTAGACCTAATTACCTCTTAAAGGCCTCATGTCTAAATATCATAAAATTGAGGGTTAGGGCTTCAACATATTAATTTGTGGGGTTAGGAGTGGGTAAGGCACAATTCAGTCTCCAGTAAGAATGCAATTTCTGATTTGGGTGAATGCACTCACAGTCAAAGAAAAAAATATACAGAATAAAATTTTAGGGGACATCCTACAATCTCAGCAGCTAAAAAATGAACTACACTGATTCTGGAAGTACTGGCTTCCACACACAAGATGGCTGAAATCCTAACAGTTAAAACTGTGCCCTTCCAACAAGTCTTCGATCTGATGTAAGTGGTCCCCAAACACAATGATCAGGAAACTGTTGCCCATGACCAGATATGGCACGTTGTTTACTTTTGTAAGTGAAGTTTTAATGGAACATAGTCATGCTCATTTGTTTTCTTTTTGCCTGTGGCTTTTTGTGTACTACAGCATCAGTGTTGAATAGTGCAACTGAGATGCTTTGGCCCATAAAGGCAAAATTTGTCCAGCCCTTTAAAGAAATATTTTTCTACTCCTACCCTAAAGTATACTTTACAGGTTTGTGAATCTCAGGAGATGGCACAGAATGAGATTTGTGTGTGTATTTATTGTACAGTGTGGTCAAAATTTTTATCAAGTTCTCAAATTATATGTGACCTGCTGATCACTGGAAAAAGTTTGTAAAACCCCTATAAACCTTGAGGGAATACTGGATAAGAGATTCACTTACTTGTAAGAACATGCTGATATAGCTAGAAAAAGACAACTGGCGTGTGAACTAATCAAGGAACTGTTTTGGTGTCATGCAGATTAGTGCCATAAAAGTAATCTATTATCAAAAAAATTGAGTTAGAATGTCATGCGAGAACTGGGACTTCATAGAGCCATTTGACGCCTTTGAAAATTTGTCTGCAAATATTGACATTTTACATTATTAACTAAAGCTGCAAGAAAACTCACTAGCAACCCTACTTCTAAAAGTATTTTCAATTGCTTTTGGATCACTTTACCATTTCAAACATTCATGGAAAAAACATGATATAAAAATACTTTTTTGTAGCTACACTTATTTTAAATAATTTGCAACTAAGGCTGTTCTCTAGCCCCCATTCTTTTTCTTTTGTTTTTAGTGACATAAGGCTTTATTCACTGGACTTTCTGCCTGAATTTAAACAGCTTCATTTTTCTATAAAGGCAAGATTCATATGGCTGTTTCTTCTTTAACAAGTGGCTTAAACTATTGAAATGAGAGATGCCAATATTGCCATTTCTTAGAAAATATGATCTATGTCCTGATTATTTCAAAAAAATTTCAATTGGCTGTGCTCTAGAAAGGCATGTAGTGTGATAACATTAAAGTTCAAGAAAGCAAGGTAAGGCAAGGTCAGGTGTACTTTTTTTTTAATTCATAAGCCTTCTTAAATTTATTTTAAGCTGGCATGAAGGGAGGTATTAATAGGTCAAAAAGATTAGGCCTTTGCCTGCTAAACATCTAAAGATCATTAACATAAAACTTACATTAAAATTTGTCATTTCTGTGGTATGGTAGGCCAATCTTTCACTTTTATACAACAATCTCTTAACACCTTGAATTTGCATAACTTATAAAACTGTTTTTAAAAGTGATTTCCCATCTATTAATTCACAGCCACCCCATGAGCATGGCAATTATGCTTGCTTTTTATGGATTACATTTTTGATGTCCAGAGAAGTTTGGTCTGATAGAAACGTGACTTGATGAACCAAAACTTCTAGTACTGCACTTTTCTCCTAAACTACGCTCTTAGAAAATGCCTGTATGTATGTATATAGAGTAACAAAATAATGGTCACAAACTACATAAATATATGCATTTGCCATCCTTAGGAAACAGAAAATACATTTATTCATTATAGATTCAGCCTTATAAACAAAGAAAAAGTTCAACTTACTGAGTTACTTACTGAATTCCAAGTTTCTTAACATTAACTTGTCCCAGTTATTAAACTAGCATAAGTAATTTATGATATCTGGGTCATTATGATTGAACAGATATATGAAGAGTTTAAGTTCAAATAGTTATTTCTTCTAGTTTCTATTTACTCTTAGTGAGCATCTGATTTTATTCTGTGTCTTCACTCTTCCAAGTATAACCATTGTTGATGGAAAGAATGAAAGTCACCAAAAATAAATGTGATCATGATAGAACCACTAGGATGAATATGTAAATCAGATCTATGTAAACAGAGGCTTTCCTTTAAGTAGCTGAGCTATGGCGACCTTGTTTTCTTTTTAATTCCTCTTTCCAATTAAATTTAGTAAGTATATAAAATAGCATTTCTATGCATGTTAGGAGAATAAGGTCAATTATATAATTAACAACCACTGAGGATTACAGAACCTTGACATTGCTTTTAGTAACTTTAACAATTTGGAATCAGTCTGAATTCAAATCAACAATCTTATAAATAAGTCAGCTCTGTTCCATTTTCTCTTAGCATTTTTGTCATTATAATCATTGTTTGTTCCTGCTAAGCCAATAACCAAAAATACTTCAGCTATTTGGTTTTCTGAGTAATTCAAAGATGTGTCAACTAATTAGGCTATTTGAAAATACAATTGTAATTAAAACAATATGTACTGAGAGGGTAATGTCGTGATGTTTATGGGTTTTAGGACACCTGTGAAGTCACTGGAAATCTGTAGCACAATGGGATTCTGCATAATAAAAATGTTAGAATTTACAAAATGTCATCAAATGCTCGTGGCCCACTTCTATAAAAAACATGAATAATTCACAATGCTATATATGGAATTACATTTTGCTGCCCCAATTCCATTTAAATAAATGTGTTTATGAGTCACCAATTTCATTTTCCTCTACTTCTAAGTGGTGACCTTTCACTTATGAGCTGAAAAGCAATCAACTCTGGGTATAGAATAAGAGAAAAGAAAATAAATTTAAATATTTATAGTAAACATTTATGGTGGTGTGTGCACTAATGATTCTAAACGCATTTTTGTTTAGAGAAAAAAGATGTATAAAATCCATTCACTCCACAAATATTTATTGAGAAGTTACCACATGCCTATTCAAGCATGTTATGTGGTTTCAATGAAAATTAGACAATACAATATGGGACAAAATATAGAAAATAAAATAATATCCAAGGCACTTTATCTTCTCATATTTTTAAAGCATGAATTTACACAGAGAATGATAACTGAAAATATGTAGTGATTCTTCCAAATTTCTACCTACCATTTATTTATGTATTCCACACAGTTATCAGCAAATATTTATTAGAATGATTTGACAAGATATATACTCAAAACAGGGGTAATTGTAAAAACAATTTTAAAACTCAAAATATAGCTTATCACTGATTGTTATCTATTGTTTTTGTCCCCATATTTTATTTTCTTTGAAAAACTATCTCAAATTCCCCCCAACTCCCTCTCTATCCCAATTTATTCTAGGGCTCATATCAAAAGCAACTCTATATAATGCTCTGCAACTTTGCTGGTACATCCATCATAGAACTGATTTCTCTATACCATGCATATTTACATGGCTGTTATATGCTCTATAATATCAGAATAAGCTTTTATTCCCTTGATCCCTACATTGCTTGAGCAATATTTTGTACATGATGGATATTCAATTAATGTATGTGAAGTCCCATGTACAAAAATCTGTGATGACTATCCATTGTCTACTGCATTTGACTTATCTAAGCAAACCAAGCCTTCAACAGCCTGGCCCCAGGCAATCTTTCAAGCTTCATCACAATCACTCCACTTCACACTTTCTAAAATCCATGGACAGTATCAATTGTCTTACACTTGCTCATTTCACTTCTCTCAAGCTGTTTTAATCTGTCTTGAGTATCTGCTTTCCTATTTAATTGCCTGGCTAAATCCATTCATACCTCAAGGCCCAATCAGTTGTCACCTGTTTTCTAAAGCACTTATTGAAAGACACCCATGACCTAAAGTACCTCTCCTCTCAACATTTACAAGATACTCTGTTGAATTGGTGTGAAGACACAGCCTCACATTGTTAGTTAGATCCTGTCCTTTTCTCACTAGTTGTGACTCTTGGATATATTTTATAATATTGAAGAGATAGAGTTTCTTCATTTGCAAGTCAACTTTATAGGACAGGGTTATGGTGAAAGTTCAATAGTATTAAAATTATGAAGTGCCAATTTCAGTATTGACAGCAAGTAATCAAGTATGCAATCAAATTTAGGTCCCATTTCACCAAAAGTGAGGCCTTTAGAGCTGATACAACAGTCACCTCTTCTTTTCATCGTGTAAACATGGTTGAGAGCCAGTTTGGGGGTCAGAATACCTGGGGGCAGATCACAGCTCTGCCCTTGAAAACTCAGGCAATTTATTTAACTTCTCTATGCCTTGAACTTTTGATAAGTTTATTGTGAAGATTAAATTAACATTTATAAAACCTCTGGAAAAGCCCCTAATGTACAGCAATTGCGAAATACTAGCTATTATTGTTCTTATTAATTACTTAAACATAATATCACCTTATTAACTATTCTGTATTAATCAACACTTTTTATATGCAATTTTATAAAACAGTAACTCAAAATAATTTAGTGGAATGGAAAAAAAGGGAAGAGGGATTCCTGGGCTTGGGAAAGACAGTGGGGGTGATCACAGGGTGGAAGGACCTCTGCTAATTCTACTTGGATTCAATGCCACCATGATACAATGTGCACCATTTTCAGTATACTTGCTTCTTTTTTGTTCATTTTCTTTTTTCATCCAGTGTTACGTCTTGCCTTTATTTCACCGATTGTGGACAAACCTCCAAGTGTCAGGAAAAGTATTTTAGGCAGCTATACTTTATTGCAGTCCAAGAGAAAAAATTAAAGTTCTTTCTCTCAGGGTCCATATGCCAACACCAAAGAAGAGCTCATATTTCCACTTTTCGGATCGATCTCCGTTTGCTGAGGAATGAAATAATCTGATTGTCCCGGTCCGATCATGGTGCTGAGTTCTGTTATTTTCAGTCCTTCCAGAACAATGTAATATTAGGGATGAGTACTTTTAACAAAAAAAGGAAAAAGGGATTCTGTTTAGGCAAAAACAGTAGATGTCTACTACATCTGCTTTCTAGAACAGAGAACAACTTGGAATGGAGAGAGCAAAGCCACCCTCATGATAAAGGTGGTAAGATACTTTTTATTCTCACTACCCTTCATGCAGGGCACTGTTTCTCCATGCTGAGCAAAAATGGTCATTGATCAACAGATATTGGTATAGGGTTCAAATAAAGAAATTTCTGAGAGCATACTGTGATGTGTGTTATGCCAAGGAGGAGACACTTGGCAACAGAATTGATGGTGGTATTATAACAGGAAAAGGAAACATGTAAGGAAACTCATTGAAGGCTTCCGAATTTGATCACTTGCCAGTTGTGTTTGCCTCATTCTGGTGAAACACAAGTATATACATGCAGCTCCTCATTGTTTTAATATTTCTGATAAATTTGATCATAATCACATTTGTTCTGTCTAGAAGAAAATTCACACAGATAATATTCCCCCAAATTGGAGAATTTTGAAAGAGGAACATCCTAGCCAGTGTTAAAACATGTCACACAAAGAAGGAGGATATCCAACAGGTATTGCATCAATATAAAGGAAATAATGCCCAAAAAATGTTTTAACAGCACTGTGGGCTTTTTTTTAAATTATAGTAGATCACGTGTCATTATATTTCTTAAAACAGGCACTCAATAAATGTGTTTTGTAAGGAGAATTTATTTAATTTGGCTCTCAATATAGACAGAGCAATTGAAAAATAGAATCTGATAATAAAATGGGTGGCAGGTATATCTGTAGAAATTCTGCTACATTTCCTAGTGTGAAATGTAATTTATTCTGCTGGAAGCATATCACATTAAACCAAAGGAAGTCTGGTATAACCTAGGTTGTAATTCCCTGTGAACATTGATTTGCTGCAGTAATTATCTCCAATTAGGAAAGCAACAATAAAAGTCCTCATGTTCTTATCAAGGATTCATGTTGACAGTTCTCCCATTGGGAATGGCCATGATGGTGTTCAAATTATAACTGTGACTATGGACAGTGTAGGTATGTTTTATTTTAGAAAACACCAGACTTAAAAGACTATAATATACAGGAATTGTCCTAATTCTATCAACCTGTTCCCAGGGATCTCATAACAAGGAACTATATAGGTGCCAAAGATTGTTGCTGGTTGAGTAGTGGTTTTGGCTGCTGAACCTGGGCAGTTGTAGCCATCTGTTCCTCAAAATTGTTTTTAGAAATATATATAAAACAATTAGCAAGTTGGATTTCTACAGACTAAGCCAAGAAAATGCAATTCTGTTGAATTGGGTGCAAAATAATTTTCATTTTAGATAAAAGAGAAAATAGAATGGAATTTGTCAGAAGCTATTGTAGGTCAAAATTTTTTGACCTACAATTATAGGCAGAAAAAATTTGAAAGAGAGAGGTAGTGTTCTTAAAACTATGTAGGTAGTGAAAATACTTTGATACCAGTACCAAAAAAAAAAAAAATACTTTGATACCTCTACCAAAAAAATAGAACACAGAACAATAAAAAAGAACAAGGCTGAAGATGTAAATAAGGCAGTTTCTGTAGTATTCACATTATGTTCCCCAGGACACATTGCAATGAAAAGTCTTTATAAGAAGATTCAGTAATGTCACTTGTGAGTCATACTTCATACTGAATAAGGAGACAAAATCATTGAAACAAGCTAATAAAATTCAGCCCATTTACAAACAAAGTATGACGTGTAATCCAATGTAAATCTGTGGGACAGAACGTACGTGGCGGCTGGTACTAACTTTTATGTCATACACCACTTCGGATAATGAACTACAAACTGAATGCTGAAGAAAAACCTTGAGGATATAATAATAAGCATCTTAAAATAAAAGAGAAAAAGAGAGTATGAGAGACAGACTAGCTACCCAACAGATACGTAGATAATACAGAAGGTACTATTAGGCAAAGGTGCATAAATCAAAGCCCAGTGGACAGTAAACCCTAATGTACCAAGAATCAGTGGCCTTGTACCTATATGGTGTGGATGGACAGTTGGCTTATCAGGTTTCTCAGACACAATAGTGTATGTAAAAATGTCACCGCTGTAGCCTTTTTTGAAATCAGTTAACAAATTGTATTTAGGGTATTTCTTACTGTGAAAGATCTACTTCCTTAAAAGCAAAGCAAAGCAAAGCAAAGGAAAAGAAAAAAAGTATGTAAAGTCAGTTTCTCTAATGCCCAAAGAGTTATTTGGTTGGGCCCAATATTAGCAATAAACTGTAGAAGTATAGAAGTGGATTTCTTGTTATATGTTTATATGGTTAATTCTAATTAATATAATAGATATAGCTAAAATATTTTTTAAATAAATTGTATCATTGTTTTCTCTCATACTTCTCAGGAGCATTTCAAGATATTAACAAGTAGCTTCTTTTTTTCCTTTTTTTTTTTAACATTAAGATGACTGAATATGTTTTTCATTAACTGTGGCTGATGGACACAGTTTATCAAACCAACTCTTGCTATTTAAATAAAGGAACTATATAAAGGAACTTCCTATATAAAAAAACTAAAAATTTCTCAAGATCCTGGCACAACATTTATAAATATCTGCCTATTCTGTATCTATGCCCTCATATCATGTTTTAAAAGAATATGCCAAACTGAAAACAAATTGAATTGTATAGGTCCACATTATAATTAAATTTTGAAAATTATACTTAAATCCTAAATAGGTTATCAGTGTGTTAACAGATAAAATCTGTTGGATAGTATATAACAATGATGACCTTAAAACATTTATCTTACATGTTTCTGCCACTTAGGACCATGTTTAGAATAATTAATCCCTAAATTCATGCAATCATCTTGCTTCTGGATAAAGTCACCACTTATAGAGACTAAACCAAATTAGATAATGAAACAAATTTTTTTCACTTAAAAGTTTTTAGCTTTCTGTTTCTCTGGACACATATCTGTGTTTTCAAATCAAGATGAAGAAAAAAACATAAATTGTTACAGAATATATTCAACATTAAATATTTTAAGACTATATTAATGAGAATCTAAGGTTTCCTTGTCAATTCCATATTTGGGGTAAATATATTTTTAGACAGCACCTTTATTTCTTCATTTCTACTAATCTTGTTCCCATATTTTAGCCTGAGCAACAATCTTAGAAAACAAGATTTATTTCCTCAGTTGAGAGCTGACTACCCAAGAAGATTTAAGAAATATTTAAAATTTCATGGCTGTAGTGACATATATATTAAGAAGAATTGTTGCTTTGTCCTAAATGTATATGATAGTCATTGTATTAGTCTGTTTTCATGCTGCTGATAAAGACATACCTGAGACTGGATAATTTATACAGGAAAAGGGGTTCATTGAACTTACAGTTCCAGTGGCTGGGGAGGCCTCACAATCATGGCAGAAGGCAAGAAGGAACAAGTCATATCTTACATGGATGGCGGCAGGCAAAAAGAGAGCTTGTGCAGGGAAACTCCCGTTTTTATTTTATGTTATTTATTTATTTATTTATTTATTTATTTTTGAGACAGAGTTTTGGTCTTGTTGCCCAGTCTGGAGTTTAATGGCATGATCTTGGCTCACTGCAACCTCTGCCCCTGCCAGGTTCAAGCAATTCTCCTGCCTCAGCCTCCCAAGTAGCTTGGATTATAGGCATGTGCCACCACGCCTGGCTAATTTTTGTATTTTTAGTAAAGACAGGGTTTCACCATGTTGGTCAGGCTGGTCTCGAACTCCTGGCCTCAGGTGATCCACCCACCTCGGCCTCCCAAAGTCCTAGGATTATAGGCATGAGCCACCACACCCGGCCGGAAACTCCCATTTTTAAAATGATCAGATCTCATGAGACCCATTCACTGTCATAAGAACACCATGAGAAAAACCCGCCTCCATGATTCATCTCCCACTGGGTCCCTCTCAGAACAAGTGGGAATTATGGGAGCTACAAATCAGTCATTATATCAGTATCAAATCATATCATTATATCATTATATCAGTATCAAACCATTAAATCAAACCATATCAGTCATTATATCATTTGTAAAACCAAATAAGAGCTACTAAACAGAAATTGCGAAGTTATTACACTTTCAATTTCCTTACTACTGTTAGAGACTGTTAATCATTTAATTATATCAAAAATATTCTTTTCTTATCAAGACTATTCCATTATCTCTGGTTTCCTTCCTTATGTTGATGTACTTGAGATAATATGAGACAAATTACATTCTATAAAACAAAATAATCTTGATAAAATTAAACTTGAGTATATGAAGTAGCAGAGACACATAAAATCATTATATTCCCTCTAGTTTCAAAACTCTTAAAGTTGTCTACCCTCCTCCATTTTCAAACCCATTACCCTAGACTAAGCCAGCTCAAGGTGAAATGTATAAAATGTACTTAGAAAAGTTATTTCCATAATACTTATAATAAAATCTAAACTATTTCCTATGGATTACAAAAGAACCCTACCTGTTTTTGGTTTTGTCTATTGCGGACTGCATTTCTGATCATTTTTACCTCTCCTAGTATGTTCCAGCCACAGATGCCTTCCTTCTCCTCATCAAACACCCTACTTTTTCCAATCCAGAATCTTTGTACTAGCTCTTCTTTCCTCTTGAAATGTCCTTTACCCCTAATCTCTGCCACCCTCTTGTCCTCTTTCCAATCTCAGCTTCAAAATCATATTCTCAGAGGACATTTTGCCAATATCTCTCATCTAATGCTGCCATTTGCCAAATCATTCTCTATTATATAACTCTTTGTTATTTCTTACTATTATTTAACAGTCTCTAAAATTATAACAGTGTTGATTTATTTCTTTGTTAAATTTTCCAGACCTCCCCACCCCCAAGATAAAAAAGGTTTCATCTGTCTTGTTCACTATTGTATTCCTCATTGCTAGTACAGTGCCTGGCATATATTTTTTAATTTTTAATTTTTGTGGGTACATTGTAGGTGTGTATATTTGTGGGGTACATGAGATGTTTTGGTACAGGCATGCAATGCATAATAATCATACTGTGGAGAATGGGAGTATTCATCCCCAGAAGCATTTATCCTTTTTGTTACAAACAATCCAATTATACTTTCAGTTATTTTAAAATGTACAAAATATTGTTGACTAATAGTTACCATGTTGTGCTATCCAATACTAGGTATTATTAATTTTTTTCTAACTATATTTTTGTGCCCATTAATTATCCCACCTTCCCCCATGCCCTCAACACCTTTACCAGCCTCTGGTAACCAGCCTTCTACTCTCTAGCTCCATGACGTGCAACGGTTTTCATTTTTACATCCCATGAATAAGTGAGAATATGCAATGTTTGTCTTTCTGTGCCTGGCTTATTTCACTTAACATAATGACTTCCATTCCATCTATGTTGTTGCAAATGACAAGATCTCATTCATTTGATCACTGAATCGTACTTTGTGTGTATATGTACAACATTTTTTTTATCCATTCATCTGCTGATAGACACATAGGTTGCTTCCAAATCTTGGCTATCATGACCTGTGCTGCAACAAACATGGGAGTTCAGCTATCTCTTCAATATATACTCAGTAAATAGCTGTTGAATGAATCATTTAACATAGTAAATAAAACTGGAATTCAGGTGAGGTTCAATAGAAACTGTACAAATAGTATATGAATTTTGAAAAATCAGATAAAGAACACTGAAAAGAAGGGAAATGAGGATTTCAGGTGCAGGATTGCAGTCTCTCAACTTTTTATGACAACGCATAAAGAGAATAATATAAAAGATCAATATGTTGGGAGACAATTCTTTATAGGCTGTTTGCATTTTTGCAGTTCTTGTGGCAGCTTGTTTCTCCTAGACTATCTTTTCTAAGATATTTGCATAGGCATTGTCTTGAAAGATAAAGTGTCTCTATTTGGAACCAAGAGCAGATTTGTTTGCTCTTTAGGATAATACAGATAATGTTTCCCTCCAGGGAAAGGGCTGGGCAGGTTTGCTAGAAGTTCCCTTTATAAGAATGGACACCTCCTAACCTTGGAATTCCTCATCTGTGGCACAAATTTGTATATGCAACATCCACCTGGGCCTCACATTGACCCCATAGGCTTGCAGGGGAAGGAGAATGATGCAAACCTGAGCTCATGCTGCCTTCAGGGCCATAAGTAATAAAGTTCAGTATCTCTGACACAGGAATCTTGTATCTCCTGCCAGTATATATAAAACTGTGGCAGTCTAACCTGTTCAATTGCAAACAGAGTAAGTTTTCAGAATTTTCACAGTTCTTAACACAAGGATGCACTAAGCTGATGTCCCAAAAAAAAAAAAAATTAAAAGTGACCATATAGTTATAAATCTAATGGAAGTTACTGTCAGGCCTCTGAGCCCAAGCCAAGCCATCACATTCCCTGTGACTTGCACGTATACACCCAGATGGCCTGAAGTAACTGAAGAATCACAAAAGAAGTGAAAAGGCCCTGCCCCGCCTTAACTGATGACATTCCACCATTGTGATTTGTTCCTGCCCCACCTTAACTGAGTGATTAACCCTGTGAATTTCCTTCTCCTGGCTCAGAAGCTCCCACACTGAGCACCTTGTGACCCCCGCCCCTGCCCACCAGAGAACAACCCCCTTTGTAATTTTCCATTACCTTCCCAAATCCTATAAAACGACCCCACCCCTATCTCCCTTCACTGACTCTCTTTTTGGACTCAGCCCGCCTGCACCCAAGTGAAATAAACAGCCATGTTGCTCACACAAAGCCTGTTTGGTGGTCTCTTCACAAGGACACGCGTGAAATTTGGTGACGTGACTTGGATCGGGGGACCTCCCTTGGGAGATCAATCTCATGTCCTCCTGTTCTTTGCTCCATGAGAAATATCCACCTACGACCTCAGGTCTTCAGACTGACCAGCCCAAGAACCATCTCACCAATTTCAAATCCGGTAGGCAGCCTCTTTTTACTCTTTTCTCCAACCTCCCTCCCTATTCCTCAACCTCTTTCTCCTTTCATTCTTGGTGCCACACTTCAATCTCTTCCTTCTCTTAATTTCAATTCCCTTCATTTTCTGGTAGAGACAAAGGAGACACATTTTATCCGTGGACCCAAAACTCCAGCACCGGTCACGGACTGGGAAGGCAGCCTTCCCTTGGTGTTTAATCATTTCAGGGACGCCTCTCTGATTATTCACCCACGTTTCAAAGGTGTCAGACCACACAAGGAGGCCTGCCTTGGTCCTTCAGCCTTAGCGGCAAGTCCCGCTTTTCTGGGGGAGGGACAAGTACTCCAACCCCTTCTCTCTGTGTCTCTACCCCTTCTCTGATCTTCTGGGGCAGGGGCAAGAACCCCTCAACCCCTTCTCCTTCACCGTTAGCGGCAAGTCCCGCTTTTCTAGGGGGCAAGAACCCCCAATCCCTTATTTCCGTGCCCCAACCCTTTCTCTGCTTTTCTGGAGGGCAAGAAATCCCCACCCCTTCTCCGTGTCTCTACTCTTTTCTCTGGGCTTGCCTCCTTCACTATGGGAAACCTTCCACCCTCCATTCCTCCTCCTTCTCCCTTAGCCTGTATTCTTAAGAACTTAAAACCTCTTCAACTCACACCTGACCTAAAATCTAAGCATCTTATTTTCTTCTGCAATGCTGCTTGACCCCAATACAAACTCGACAGTAGTTCCAAATAGCCAAAAAACGGCACTTTCAATGTTTCCATCCTACAAGATCTAAATAATTCTTGTCGTAAAATAGGCAAATGATCTGAGGTGCCTGACGTCCAGGCATTCTTTTACACATCAGTACCTTCCTAGTCTCTGTGCCCAGTGCAACTCGTCCCAAGTCTTCCTTCTTTCCCTCCCACCTGTCCCCTCAGTCCCAATCCCAAGCGTCGCTGAGTCTTTCTAATCTTCCTTTTCTACAGACCCATCTGACCTCTCGCCTCCTCGCCAGGCCAAGCTAGTTCCCAATTCTTCCTCAGCCTCCGCTCCTCCACCCTATAATCTTTTTATCGCCTCCCCTCCTCACACCTGGTCTGGCTTACAGTTTCGTTCTGTGACTAGCCCTCCACCACCTGCCCAGCAATTTACTCTTAAAAAGGTTGCTGGAGCCAAAGGCATAGTCAAGATTAATGCTCCTTTTTCTTTATCCCAAATCAGAAGTGTTTAGGCTCTTTTTCATCAAATATAAAAACCCAGCCCAGTTCATGGCTTGTTCGGCAGCAACCCTGAGACACTTTACAGCCCTAGACCATAAGAGGTCGAAAGGCCATCTTATTCTCAATATACATTTTATTACCCAATCTGCTCCCCACATTAAACTCCAAAAATTGGAATCTGGCCCTCAAACCCCACAACAGGACTTAATTAACCTCACCTTCAAGGTGTACAATAATAAAAAAAAAGTTGCAATTCCTTGCCTCCACTGAGAGACAAACCCCAGCCACATCTCCAGCACACAAGAACTTCCAAACGCCTGAACCGCAGCAGCCAGGCATTCCTCCAGAACCTCCTCCCCCAGGAGCTTGCTACACATGCCGGAAATCTGGCCACTGGGCCAAGGAATGCCCACAGCCCGGGATTCCTCCTAAGCCACGTCCCATCTGTGTGGGACCCCGTTGAAAATCGGATTGTTCAACTCACCTGGCAGCCACTCCCAAAGCCCCTGGAACTCTGGCCCAAGGCTCTCTGACTGACTCCTTCCCAGATCTTCTCCACTGAATGGCTGAAGACTGATGCTGCCCGATCGCCTTGGAAGCCCCATAGACCATCACGGACGCTGAGCTTAGGTAACTCTCACAGTGGAGGGTAAGTCCGTTCTCTTCTTAATCAATATGGAGGCTACCCACTCCACATTACCTTATTTTCAAGGGCCTGTTTCCCTTGCCTCCATAACTGTTGTGGGTATTGACGGCCAGGCTTCTAAACCTCTTAAAACTCCCCAACTCTGGTGCCAACTTAGACAATACTCTTTTAAGCACTCTTTTTTAGTTATCCCCACCTGCCCAGTTCCCTTATTAGGCCAAGATATTTTAACCAAATTATCTGCTTCCCTGACTATTCCTGGACTACAGCTGCATCTCATTGCTGCCTTCTTCCCAATCCAAAGCCTCCTTTGCATCCTCCCTTTGTATCTCCCCACCTTAACCCACAAGTATAAGATACCTCTACTCCCTCCTTGGTGACCGATCATGCACCCCTTACCATCTCATTAAAACCTAATCACCCTTACCCCACTCAATGTCAAGATCCCATCTAACAGCACGCTTTAAAAGGATTAAAGCCTGTTATCACTCACCTGCTACAGCATGGCCTTTTAAAGCCTATAAACTCTCCTTACAATTCCCCCATTTTACCTGTCCTAAAACCAGACAAGCCTTATAAGTTAGTTCAGGATCTATGCCTTATCAACCAAATTGTTTTGCCTATCCACCCAGTGGTGCCAAACCCATATACTCTCCTATCCTCAATACCTCCCTCCACAACCTGTTATTCTGTTCTAGATCTCAAACATGGTTTCTTTACTATTCCTTTGCACCCCTCATCCCAGCCTCTCTTCGCTTTCACTTGGACTGACCCTGACACCCATTAGGCTCAGCAAATTACCTGGGCTGTACTGCTGCAAAGCTTCACAGACAGCCCCCATTACTTCAGTCAAGCCCAAATTTCATCCTCATCTGTTACCTATCTCAGCATAATTCTCATAAAAACACACGTGCTCTCCCTGCTGATCGTGTCTGATTAATCTCCCAAACCTCAATCCCTTACAAAACAACTCCTTTCCTTCCTAGGCATAGTTAGTGTGGTCAGAATTCTTACACAAGAGCCAGGACCACACCCTGTAGCCTTTCTTTCCAAACAACTTGACCTTACTGTTTTAGCCTAGCCCTCACGTCTGCGTGCAGTGGCTGCCACTGCTTTAATACTTTTAGAAGCCCTCAAAATCACAAACTATGCTCAACTCACTCTGTACAGTTCTCATAACTTCCAAAATCTATTTTCTTCCTCATACCTGACGCATATACTTTCTGCTGTACTCACTCTTTGTTAAGTCCCACAATTACCATTGTTCCTGGCCTGGACTTCAATCCAGCCTCCCACATTATTCCTGATACCACACCTGACACCCATGACTGTATCTCTCTGATCCACCTGATATTCACCCCATTTCCCCATATTTCCTTCTTTCCTGTTCCTCACCCTGATCACGCTTGATTTATTGATGGCATTTCCACCAGGCCTAATCGCCACACAACAGCAAAGGCAGGTTATGCTATAGTACGAGCCACTAGCCCACCTCTTAGAACCTTTCGTTTCCTTTCCATCGTAGAAATCTATCCTCAAGGAAATAACTTCTCAGTGTTCCATCTGCTATTCTACTACTCCTCATGGATTATTCTGGCCCCCTCCCTTCCCTACACATCAAGCTCGAGGATTTGCCCCCACCCAGGACTGGCAAATTAGCTTTACTCAACATGCCCCGAGTCAGGAAACTAAAATACCTCTTAGTCTAAATAGACACTTTCATTGAATAAGTAAAGGCCTTTCCTACAGGGTCTGAGAAGGCCACCTCAGTCATTTCTTCCCTTCTGTCAGACATAATTCCTCAGTTTAGCCTTCCCACCTCTATACAGTCTGATAACAGACCAGCCTTTATTAGTCAAATCAGCCAAGCAGTTTTTCAGGCTGTTAGTATTCAGTGAAGCCTTTATATCCCTTATGGTCCTCCATCTTCAGGAAAAGTAGAATGGACTAAAGGTCTTTCAAAAACACACCTCACCAAGCTCAGCCACCAACTTAAAAAGGACTGGACAATACTTTTACCACTTTCCCTTCTCAGAAGTCAGACCTGTCCTCAGAATGCTACAGGGTACAGCCTATTTGAGCTCCTTTTTATTAGGCCCCAGTCTCATTCCAGACACCAGACCAACTTAGACTATGCCCCCCAAAAAAACTTGTCATCCCTACTATTTTCTGTCTATTCATACTCCTATTCTCCATTCTCAACTACTCATACATGCCCTGCTCTTGTTTACACTGCCGGTTTACACTGTTTCTCCAAGCCATCACAGCTGATATCTCCTGGTGCTATCCCCAAACTGCCACTCTTAACTCTTGAAGTAAATACATAATCTTTGCTGGCAGGACTATGCTGAATCTCCTTAGGCACTCTCTAATCAGATGTTCTAGGTCCTCCCAATTCTTAGACCTTTTATACCTGTTTTTCTCCTTCTCTTATTCCATTTAGTTTTTCAATTCATACAAAACCATATCCAGGCCATCACCAATAATTCTAAATGACAAATGTTTCTTCTAACAACCCCACAATATCGCCCCTTACCACAAAATCTTCCTTCAGCTTAATCTCTCCCACTCTAGGTTCCCACGCTGCCCCTAATCCCGCTTGAAGCAGCCCTGAGAAACATCGTCCATTCTCTCTCCATACCATCCCCCAGAAATTTTCGGCGCCCCACCACTTCAACACTATTTTGTTTTATTTTTCTTATTAATATAAGAAGGCAGGAATGTCAGGCCTCTGAGCCCAAGCCAAGCCATTGCATCCCCTGTGACTTGCACGTATATATGCCCAGATGGCCTGAAGTAACTGAAGAATCACAAAAGAAATGAAAAGGCCCTGCCCCGCCTTAACTGATGACATTCCACCATTGTGATTTGTTCCTGCCCCACCTTAACTGAGTGATTAACCCTGTGAATTTCCTTCTCCTGGCTCAGAAGCTCCCACACTGAGCACCTTGTGACCCCCGCCCCTGCCCACCAGAGAACAACCCCCTTTGACTGTAGTTTTCCATTACCTTCCCAAATCCTATAAAATGGCCTCACCCCTATCTCCCTTCACTGACTCTCTTTTTGGACTCAGCCCGCCTGCACCCAGGTGAAATAAACAGCCATGTTGCTCACACAAAGCCTGTTTGGTGGTCTCTTCACACGGACGTGCATGAAAATTACCATTAGTAATGCCACTGATTGAATGGTTTTTAAAACATAACCCTGGGTTACACATTCCCTGTGTACTAAATCCAGTCAGCGACAATGACCCCTGCTTCTCCTATGGTCTGCTCTAATCTGAGTTTCAAAGCTCTATTGATCTTCACATTCATACTAGAATTCTTTCTTAGCAGGCCAGAGCTCGAACTAGGATCCTTTCTTCCCCAGATTCTCCCACCAACTCTACCTTTTACAATTTTCTTTTAAAAATCCAAAAAAGAATTGATATGAGTTAAATGTGTCAAATTTAGTAAAACTTTAAGCACTATGTCCAGAGCATTGCACACACACACACATATATATATGGCTTGTTAAATTTAAAATGAAGCATGTAAAGTTTTTTAAAGTAAAAACAGAATTTGGAAAGAATGAAAATTCTGCAATTATTAAGTTTTCTGAAGAAAATATTTGAAATCTGCTGGTGTTTGCTCAAGAAACATTTGTTAAATATCTACAAATTATATACCTATGTCACACCATGCATTTGCTCTGCATAGAAATCTGCAGATTACCTAATTCTTAAACTGTTCTTGCTGTCATGTAAATAGTTATTTACAGCCTTTCTAAGCTGAGTAGTGTTCTAGGTACTGGCCACTGGGCAATGCACAAAACAAATGCAAATGTCTGCTCTCCAGCAGTTTAAATTCTAGTGAAGTGATGGAATATAGAGCAGGGGAAAGGACAGTAAGGGTCCCAGATAATAAACAAATACATGAAAAACATGTAGTTTGCAAGAGGATGATAAGTGGTAGGGAACATTGGAAAGATAGATGCAATTTTATAATGAATAGTCAGGAAAGTGTCAATGAGTTTCACTGTCTAATGAATGAAACAGAATTTTTTTTTTTTTTCGAAACAGACTTCTAAAAGAATAAGTGCAATAAGTTTTCAAAAGTGCAGGATGACATCCCAGTTACCTTGTATTAGCTTGCTAGGGCTGTGATGTAGTTTGGGTATTTGTCCCTGCCCAAATCTCATGTTGAATTGTAATCTCCCGTGCTGGAGATGGAGCTTAGTGGGAAGTGTTTGGATCATGGAGGCGGATCCCTCATGGCTTGGTGCTGTCTTCCTTATAGTGAGTTCTCATGAGATGTGGTAATTTAAGAGTGTGTGGCACCTTTCCCTTCACTCTCTCCCCTTCTTCTGCTTTCCACATGTGATGTGCCTGTTCCCCCTTTGCCTTCTGCCATGAATGAAAGCTCTCTGAGGCTTCGTCAGAAGCTGAGCAGATGCTAGCACCATGCTTCCTGTAAAGCCTGCAGAACGTGAGCCAATTAAACCTCTTTTCTTCATAAATTATGCACTCCCAGGTATTTCTTTACAGCAATGCAAAAGCGACCTAACACAGGCTTCCATAACAAAATATCACAGATGGGATGACTTAAACATCAGGAGTTTCTTTTCTTACAATTTTGGAAGCTGGAAGTCCAAGATCAAGGTACTGGCAGGGTTGATTTCTTCTAAGGCCACTGTCTTTGGCTTGCCTATGGCTGCCTTCTCTTCGTGTGCTCACATGGTCTTTCCTTTGCGCTAATGCATCTCTGGTATCTTTCTGTGTATTTAACTTTATTAATCTGATAAGGGCTGGTCAGATTACACTAGGCCCATACTAAAGGCCTCCTTTTCACTTAACTGTCTCTTTAAAGGCCCTGTTTCCAAATATAGTCACAGTCCAAGGTACTAGAGGTAAGAACTTCAACATGCGACTTATGGGCCGGGTTGTGGGGAGAGCACAGTCCATAACATCTCTCTTAAAATTTGAGAGAGATAGCTGGGAATTAAAACCCTGATTTTATCTTCTTGCAGCCCTATTCTCTGAAGCATAGTGAATTATGTATCATAATTCCATGCTGTATGCTAAATTGCAGATAATATCTGGTTTTCAGAACTGTTTATTGTGAAGCCCTGAAGTTGCAGCTGCCCCAGGAGGAATGTGGCTTGACATATATTCCCAGAGAGGTTTGCTAACAAACATAATTCATGCTTGGTTAAGGGAAGGAGAGGTAGTTTCCCTCCCAGTCCCTGACCAACAGAGCACACCCAGTGCATGGAGTGGTCTGACAGCTGGCCTGATAGTCCAAGACCTCTCAATAGGACTGTTTGGCTATGAATGACAGTGCTGCCCGCTTTCAGCCTTTCAAATCAAATTATGATGACTGATGGGACCCCATTAAGTCTTGTGGGTCTTTTTGTTGACTCTGATTTCCAAAACAATTAATATTAAATTAGAGGCCAGGTAGAATGTGAAGCGGGAAGAGCAAGTCGTAACAAAGAGTTTCAACAAACTCTTTTTGCATGCATTTCATATATGTTCAGCAGGCACAAAACTATCGTCTTTTCAAAGATGACAGAGGCAGTGACATTAACGAAGCGTGAAAGTTTTAAACTACAACGAGCAGATTGGGAACTGCAAGGGTTTTAGTGTAGATAAAACATAGTCAGGGGCACAAATCAAGAGATTAAGGAGGAAAATAGGTGTTGAGACCATTGAAGGTTCTTTCAGGCTTACTAAGAATTTGTTTCCTATTTGGTAGTCATAGAATGTCAATTTAACTGAAATGCTTTACACTAAAGAATTTGATGATTAAATGCGTGTTTTTAAAAATGAATTCCATTGGCCAAATGACAGATGACTTTAAGTGCTTACTTCTTTACTGCCCAGAGATCTTTCAAGATCCCATTAAACCAAAGTACTAAAACTCAAAATATTTGTTTCATTGTGCCCTTTAGAAATGTGAACTTACAAAAGATTCAGTGCAGAAAACAAGAAAATAAACATGAAACATTAGTTCAAATGAGGTGTGCTTATCACATCAGGGCACTGGGTCTTAAACCTTGGTGTGCCTCCAATCTAGGGTAAATGAAGAGAGAGATTTTTCCATGGGTGTATCTGGAGATGTACGCATGTTAAAGCATAACAAAATTTGGGATTAATCAATTGTTCATCAGTGGGAGAATGGATAAATATTTGTGAAATGTTCATACACTTGAATCAGAGGTATAGAAATGTACAGAGAAGAGCTAAAAACACAGCGTGGAATAAAAAATTAAGTTGCAAGAATAAGTTGCTCTGTATTGACTGACAGCATTTATATAACTTTGTAAAAACATAATGAAACACATTACTTATAGAAACAGAATTTCAGTACAAACATGGTCTAATGGAACACTCATCAAATTCATCACATTGGTTCACTCAGAGTGGGAAGGTAGGGAAATGAACTTTAAGATAGGAAAAAAAGGGATTCTATTTTATTTCTAAACTATTGCAAAAATGACAAATATAAATATAGTTAATCCTAGGTCATGAGTATGCACTTCTGTAAATCTCTGTACTTTTCTAAAATTGTTTTCACTTTTTCAAATCATCTTTTAAAGAGACTTTCATGCTCGTGCATGTGAAGAGACCACCAAACAGGCTTTGTGTGAGCAACATGGCTGTTTATTTCACCTGGGTGCAGGCAGGCTGAGTCCAAAAAGAGAGTCAGCGAAGGGAGATAGGGGTGGGGCTGTTTTATAGGATTTGGGTAGGTAAAGGAAAATTACAGTCAAAGGGGGTTTGTTCTTTGGCGGGCAGGAGTGGGGGTCCCAAGGTGCTCAGTGGGGGTGTTTTTTGAGCCAGGATGAGCCAGGAAAAGGACTTTCACAAGGTAATGTCATCACTTAAGGCAAGGACCGGCCATTTACACTTCTTTTGTGGTGGAATGTCATCAGTTAAGGTGGGGCAGGGCATATTCACTTCTTTTGTGATTCTTCAGTTACTTCAGGCCATCTGGGCTTATATGTGCAAGTCACAGGGGATGCAATGGCTTGGCTTGGGCTCAGAGGCCTGACATTCCTGCCTTCTTATATTAATAAGAAAAATAAAACAAAATAGTGTTGAAGTGTTGGGGCAGTGAAAATTTTTGGGGGGTGATATGGAGAGAGAATGGGTGATGTTTCTCAGGGCTGCTTCAAGCGGGATTAGGGGCAGCGTGGGAACCTAGAGTGGGAGAGATTAAGCTGAAGGGAGGTCTTGTGGTAAGGGGTGATATTGTGGGGTTGTTAGAAGAAACATTTGTTGTGTAGAATTATTGGTTATGGCCTGGATATGGTTTTGGATGAATTGAGAAACTAAATGGAATAACAGAAGGAGAAAAACAGGTATAAAAGTTCTAAGAATTGGGACAACTCAGGATATCTGATTAGATAGTGCCTAAGGAGATTCAGCATAGTCCTGCCAGCAAAGATTATGTATTTACTTCAAGAGTTAAGAGTGGCAGTTTGGGGATAGCACGAGGAGATATCAGCTGTGATGGCTTGGAGAAACTGTAAACCGGCAGTGTAAACAAGAGCAGGGCATGTATGAGTAGTTGAGAACGGTGAATAGGAGTATGACTAGACAGAAGATAATAGGGATGACAAGTTTTTTGGGGCACAGTCTAAGTTGGTCTGGTGTCTGGAATGAGACTGGGGCCTAATAAAAAGGAGCGTCTATACAGGAGCTCAAATGGGCAGTACCCTGTAGCATTCCGAGGACAGGCCTGAATTCTGAGAAGGGAAAGTGGTTAAAGTATTGTCCAGTCCTTTTTAAGTTGGTGGCTGAGCTTGGTGAGGTGTGTTTTTAAAAGATCTTTAGTCCATTCTACTTTTCTTGAAGATGGAGGACCGTAAGGGATATAAAGGTTTCACTGAATACTAACAGCCTGAAAAACTGCTTGGCTGATTTGACTAATAAAGGCTGGTCTGTTATAAGAGTGTGTTGAGGTGGGAAGGCTAAACTGAGGAATTATGTCTGACAGAAAGGAAGAAATGACTGAGGTGGCCTTCTCAGACCCTGTGGGAAAGGCCTCTACCTATCCAGTGAAATTATCTACCTAGACTAAGAGGTATTTTAGTTATCTGACTCAGGACATGTTGAGTAAAGCTAATTTGCCAGTCCTGGGTGGGGGCAAATCCTCGAGCTTGATGTGTAGGGAAGGGAGGGGGCCTGAATAATCCTTGAGTAGTAGTAGAATAGCAGATGGAACACTGAGAAGTTATTTCCTTGAGGATAGATTTCCACGATGGAAAGGAAATGAGAGGTTCTAAGAGGTGGGCTAGTGGCTTGTACTATAGCATAACCTGCCTTTGCTGGTGTGTGGCGATTAGGCCTGGTGGAACCGCCATCAATAAATCAAGTGTGATCAGAGTGAGGAACACGAAAGAAGGAAATTTGGGGAAATGGGGTGAATGTCAGGTGGATCGGAGAGATACAGTCCTGGGTGTCAGGTGTGGTATCAGGAATAATGTGGGAGGCTGGATTGAAGTCTGGGCCAGGAACAATGGAATTGAGGGAGACTCAACAAAGAGTGAGTACAGCTGAAGGAGCCGGGGAGCAGAAAGTATATGCATCAGGTATGAGGAAGAAAATAGATTTTGGAAGTTATGAGAACTGTAGAGAGTGAGTTGAGCATAGTTTGTGATTTTGAGGGCCTCTAAAAGTATTAATGCAGCGGCAGCCACTGCACGCAGACATGAGGGCTAGGCTAAAACAGTAGGTCAAGTTGTTTGGACAGAAAGGCTACAGGGTGTGGTCCTGGCTCTTGTGTAAGAATTCTGACCGCACTAACCATGCCTAGGAAGGAAAGGAGTTGTTGTTTTGTAGAAGGTGCTGGGGTTTGAGAGATTAGTCGGACACGATCAGCAGGGAGAGCACGTGTGTTTTTATGAGAATTATGCCGAGATAGGTAACAGATGAGGAAGAAATTTGGGCTTGATTGAAGTAATGGGGGCTGTCTGTGAAGCTTTGCAGCAGTACAGCCTAGGTATTTTGCTGAGCTTGATGGGTGTCAGGGTCAGTCTAAGTGAAAGTGAAGAGAGGCTGGGATTAAGGGTGCAAAGGAATAGTAAAGAAAGCATGTTTGAGATCCAGAACAGAATAATGGGTTATAGAGGCAGGTATTGAGGATAGGAGAATATATGGGTTTGGCACCACTGGGTGGATAGGCAAAACAATTTGGTTAATAAGGCGCAGATCCTCAACTAACTTGTAAGGCTTGTCTGGTTTTAGGACAGGTAAAATGGGGGAATTGTAAGGAGAGTTTATAGGCTTTAAAAGGCCGTGCTGTAGCAGGCGAGTGATAACAGGCTTTAATCTTTTTAAAGCGTGCTGCGGGATGGGATATTGGGGTTGAGTGGCGTAAGGGTGATTAGGTTTTAATGAGATGATAAGGGGTGCATGATCAGTCACCAAGGAGGGAGTAGAGGTATTTTATACTTGCGGGTTAAGTTTGGGGGATACAAGAGGAGGATGCAAAGGAGGCTTTGGATTGGGAAGAAGGGCAGCAATGAGATGCAGCTGTAGTCCAGGAATAGTCAGGGAAGCAGACAATTTAGTTAAAGTGTCTCAGCCTAATAAGGGAACTGGGCAGGTGGGGATAACTAAAAAGGAGTGCTTAAAAGAGTATTGTCTAAGTTGGCCCCAGAGTTGGGGAGTTTTAAGAGGTTTAGAAGCCTGGCCATCAATACCGACAACAGCTGTGGAGGCAAGGGAAAAAGGCCCTTGAAAAGAAGGTAATGTGGAGTGGGTAGCCTCCGTATTGATTAAGAAGGGGACGGGCTTACCTTCCACTGTGAGAGTTACCTGAAGCTGGGCATCCGTGATGGTCTAGGGGGCTTCCGAGGCAATCAGGCAGCGTCAGTCTTCAGCCGCTAAGCCAAGAAGATCTGGGAAGCAGTCAGAGAGCCTTGGGCCAGAGTTCCAGGGGCTCTGGGAGTGGCTGCCAGGTGAGTTGGACAGTCCGATTTCCAGTGGGGTCCGGCACAGATGGGACGTGGCTTAGGAGGAATCCTGGGCTGCAGGCATTCCTTGGCCTGGTGGCCACGTTTCTGGCACTTGTAGCAAGCTCCTGGGGGAGGAGGTTCTGGAGGAACACCTGGCCGCTGCGGTTCAGGCGTTTGGAAGTTCTTGTGTGCTGGAGATGCGGCTGGGGTTTGTCTCACAGTGGGGACAAGGAATTGCAACTTTTTTCTATTATTGTACACCTTGAAGGCGAGGTTAGTTAAATCCTGTTGTGGGGTTTGAGGGCCGGAATTTAATTTTTGGAGTTTTATTTAATGTGGGGAGCAGATTGGATAATAAAATGTATATTGAGAATAAGACAGCCTTTTGACCTTTTAGGGTCTAGGGCTGTAAAGTGTCTCAGGGTTGCTGCCAAACGATCCATGAACTGGGCTGGATTTTTATATTTGATGAAAAAGAGCCTAAACGGTTCTGATTTGGGATAAAGAAAAAGGAGCATTAACCTTGACTATGCCTTTGGCTCCAGCCACCTTTTTAAGAGTAAATTGCTGGGCAGGTGGGGGAGGGCTAGTCACAGAACGAAACTGTAAGCCCGACCAGGTGTGAGGAGGGGAGGCGATAAAAAGATTATAGGGTGGAGGAGCGGAGGCTGAGGAAGAATTGGGACCTAGCTCGGGCTGGCGAGGAGGGGAGAGGTCAGATAGGTCTGTAGAAAAGGAAGATTAGAAAGACTCAGCGACGCTTGGGATTGGGACTGAGGGGACAGGTGGGAGGGAAAGAAGATTTGGGATGAGTTGCACTGGGCACAGAGACTAGGAAGGGACTGATGTGTAAAAGAATGCCTGGACGTCAGGCACCTCAGATCATTTGCCTATTTTATGACAAGAATTATTTAGATCTTGCAGGATGGAGAAATTCAAAGTTCCATTTTCTGGCTATTTGGAACTACTGTTGAGTTTGTATTGGGGTCAAGCGGCATTGCAGAAGAAAATAAGGCATTTAGGTTTTAGGTCAGGTGTGAGTTGAAGAGGTTTTAAGTTTTTGAGAACACAGGCCAAGGGAGTAGAAGGAGGAATGGAGGGTGGAAGTTTGCCTATAGTGGAGGAAGCAAGCCTCGAGAAAAGAGAGAGTAGAGAAACGGAGGGAAGGGGTTCAGGGATTCTTACCTTTCAGAAAAGTGAGAAAAGGGGTTGGGGTGCAGATATAAGAGTTCGGGGCACGGAAATAAGGGATGGGGTGCAGAAATAAGGGGTCGGGGCACGGAAATAAGGGGTCGGGGCATGGAAATAAAGGATTGGGGCATGGAGATACTAGGTTGGGGTGCGGAAATAAGGTATTGGACATTCTTGCCCCCTAGAAAAGCGGGACTTGCCGCTAAGGGTGAAAGAGAAGGGGTTGAGGGGTACTTGCCCCTCCCTCAGAAAAGCGGGACTTGCCGCTAAAGGTGAAGGACCAAGGCAGGCGTCCCTGCGTGGTCTGACACCCGTGAAACGTGGGTGTATAATCAGAGAGGTGTCCCTGCAATGATTAAACACCAAGGGAAGGCTGCCTTCCCAGTCCGTGACCGGCACCGGAGTTTTGGGTCCACGGATAAAACGTGTCTCCTTTGTCTCTCCCAGAAAATGAAAGGAATTGAAATTAAGAGAAGGGAGAGATTGAAGAGTGGAAAGGAGAAAGTGGTTGAGGGACAGTGAGAGAGGCTGGAGAAGAGAGTAAGAAGAGGCCGCTTACCTGATTTAAAATTGATGAGATGTTCCTTGGGCTGGTCAGTCTGAGGACCTGAGGCCATAGGTGGATCTTTCTCACGGAGCAAAGAACAGGAGTACAGGGGATTGATCTCCCAAGGGAGGTCCCCAGATCCAAGTCACGGCATCAAATTTCATGTGCGTCGGCGTGAAGAGACCACCAAACAGGCTTTGTGTGAGCAACATGGCTGTTTATTTCACCTGGGTGCAGGCGGGCTGAGTCCAAAGAGAGAGTCAGCGAAGGGAGATAAGGGTGGCACTGTTTTATAGGTTTTGGGAAGGTAAAGGAAAATTACAGTCAAAGGGGTTTTGTTCTCTGGCGGGCAGGAGTGGGGGTCGCAAGGTGCTCAGTGGGGGTGCTTTCTGAGCCAGGATGAGCCAGGAAAAGGACTTTCACAAGGTAATGTCGTCACTTAAGGCAAGGACCGGCTATTTACACTTTTGTGGTGGAATGTCATCAGTTAAGGTGGGGCAGGGCATATTCACTTCTTTTGTGATTCTTCAGTTACTTCAGGCCATCTGGGCGTATACGTGCAAGTCACAGGGGATGTGATGGCTTGGCTTGGGCTCAGAGGCCTGACAGAGACTTTTTTCCTCACCTGTAATCCCTTATAATTATATTATACTTTATACTTTGCCTGCACTTAATATATTTATTGCCTCATAACCTGCTTATGATTTAGATGGGAAAAAGTAAAGGTCTTTATTCTTAACTGAGTCTCAAAAAGGTGAAGTGCCTTACCCCAACATTTCCTTATAATTATTAAAAAATGAGATGGAAGTTCAGTCCCAGCATTTCTGACACTCAGGCAAGTGGTTCTCATTCTCCTGCAAGGGCTCTGTCTGCACTGTGAGAACTTCTACGGAACTCACCAGAATTGGCAAAAAACACTTAAATTTCAATGTGGCCCTTCTCTTTTCCCATCTCTACAATTTATTTTGTTCTAAATATAGTTGAGGGCCTGGGGCTCATGAATTTAGGTGATGTTTTATGATGCAGTAGATGAGGGTGAAAGCTGTGATTGGTAATGCCAGCTCTGCCACATTCTAGCATCCTGGACATTGACAAGCTACTTATATATGCTCTGCCTCAGTTTTCTTGTAGATAAGATTACAAAATAATAGTACTTTGGCATAAGATTATTGAGAATGAACTAGGTAATCCATAAAGTGCTTAGCATAGGTCCTATTAGAACTATCAGTGTTACAATTGTGGGATAATAGATGAGCATTCTAGTGTATAAATACACCAGGATAATAAGGAGAAAGTCTTGAGCTTAATCTCTGGGTAAGCTAGTTTATGCTGTCTGTTAAAAGCTACCCACATAAGATGGAGCAAAACACACATTCAGTAGATAGATTAGCAGAAACCCATATGCTGGTGCAATACAAAGCATACATGTAAGTGAATGTGAACTTCATTTTGTATACCTTTAAGAAAAAAATGACACTATGAAAAGAGGGAAGAAGAGGAGAGACAAAGGAAGTCACTCCACCTCTAAACAAAAGACAAAAGAAAATAAATCTCATTAAGTATATTGGCCAGTTGATTTTTATAAATGTTGCAAATCTGTCCTGTAGCATATATCATAGAATGTATCCTAAAGACGCATAAAGTCATATAAGATGCAAACTCACCTTCATGCATAAATGTGGTACCTGAAAAATCTGTGGCCATTGAAAAGAATACAGGTTTTGAACCTTTTTAAATGTTTTAGGGAATAGTATGTAAAAGGAAATAAGTATAAATAGCTCATTGCACAACTCATCTCAAATTCCCTCATTAGAATTAGCAATGAAAATCCAAACTTGAAAAAAAAAAATCAATGACATATTTTCACAGACAAAATCAATAGTATTTTTTTTTAAAGAGGCTTTACACATTATTTTTTAGTACCACTGTAGAAACAGTGTCACTTTTATCTCACTCTGATCTTCAAAAGCAGGTGACCTTGTTTGGGTTTCAATAGAAAAATCTCTCATGAATTTACATGGCCATGTTAGCTGCATAGTGTTGATTGCAAAGATATAAAACCAAATAATGCCATAAAACAGCCCTTCAGGCACATTGCCTTTTTAGACTATTTGCATAAAGATGGATTGCACATTGTTACGTACATGTAGTTAAACTCTCAAATTCAAAGAAAAGAATAAAGTCCTACTTAGGTTTCCAAGGCCCCCAAAATCATAACCTGTATAATAATCTCACAAAGCAAATTCAGGGGAGGAAGCAAAAATAAAGCATATCAAACTTGCTGAAAATTAGCATTTTGTTTGTTGTGTATGTATGCAACATTAAAACAAACACTTATCACCTAAAATATCCCTTTTATGTAAGAAATATAGCAATAAATGTTTATTGACACACTGTGTTTGGGAAGAGTAAGCAAAAGTACTATGATTTCTTAACTAGTTTTCTTCTAAGTCATGAAAATAAAAGGTTAGTAATCAGGTAATAATAAATGTTCTTAGCTTCCTTAGGAAAAGAAAAATATTGCCATTCATGTGACTTTGAGATTTCTTCTGATACCTAATTGTCATTTTTTTATTCTTGTCATGTAAGTTCATATAATTGATACTTCTTTGAAAGATTTGTGTGTTTTAAATATGAATCATTGATGAGCTGATATTTTAATTACATTTATGCAATTAGAGTTTAATATGTAATTCTAGTCAAAATTTTAGGATGGCTGAAATAAAGATGTGTCTGGATAATTCACATGCATTTCACCATCAGTATTACAAAACAATGACCACACAAATTATTTTGGTTTTCTTCCTTCCAAAATTTTTTGAAATAAGGGCTGTTTTCCTCCATACTCCTGGAGAATACACCGAATTGATTTTCTTTTACTCTGTAGCAACTGCAAAGAAAAGACATAAGAGATATGCTGCTTCTTACAACTTCTTGTATAACCAAGGGCTAATTTGCCTCTCTGGGTTGGTTGTGTCTTTTTAAAAAAATAAGGGACTTGGTCTGTGGTAACAGTGTTCAGTCTTTGATGTTCAATGGCACCAAAGTCCCTTCAGAGATGCTTTGAAGATGGGTCACTCTGGGAACAAAGGAAAAGCCAAGTCAAGTTGGTGGTACCCTGGAACCCCTGCCCACTTGAGCCGGAAGGGTTATACTTGTAGTTCTTTTTTAAAAATGCATTTTATATCATTAGAATAAGTGATCCACCAGTAAAAATTTCTATTACCACTTTTCTTCGTAATTGCTAAGCTCTTTTTAGCTGTAAGCATCCGTGAATTATTTTTTATAGTTGATGAATTTGTAAGTGAAGTACTAACAGCAATAAAAAGCTAACACATATAATACTTCTAAATGCAAGGAACTCTTCCAGGGGTTATAAAGAAGTTATTTCATTTAAGACTGACAGAAACCCTTTCAAAGACAGTTATGTGAAGATATCCCTATTTAATATATCTGAAACCTTTCGTGATATTCATTATCCATTAATATACAAAAGCTCATACAAATCTATTGTAAACCTACCAAGACCATTTGAAAAACTAACAAACTCACTCAAACTACATGAGCTTATTAATATGCAAATATAAATTTAAACATATTAATTTACCAAATTAGCAAATATCAGAATGAGATAGTGTCCCATTTCAATGACAAGAGGATAAAAATAGTTTCCAGTTTCCGGTGAGAGTAGAAAGCAGTAAGTTTCTAGAAAGTAATTTGTCAATAAACATCAAGAACTTAAAAAATGTTATGTATTGTAATACTTCCAGGAATTTCTGAAAAGGAGATCATCAGATTTATAACTATGTAAATGCATGGTTGTTTATTACAATGTGAAATGTAAACCCAAACTAATTTGAAAACAAATCCAAATAGGGAAATTGAAAGATAAAACATCCCTCATTCATTTTATAAAATAGTAAATTAAAATTAAGTTTGCTTCTATGTTTTTAGGTTTTTTAGAATAAAATATAAGTGTCATGAAAATGAGATATTTTGTATTTAGTAAGAAGGCCTCAGCTACATATAAGTGTACATCCATACACATACATTTGAAACAAAAATAAGTATGTGACTCCAAATTTACTGTTAACCACCTGTCAGCTGAGAGCCCACTGGAGATAAGATTAAATTTGGATTGAACACCCAATGTCGTGTCCTACTCGAACTCACTATCCATCTCCACACAGCTTCTTTTTCAAATTTTGTACACTTCCTTCTCTCACCCTTTTTGTGTACTTCTGCTCCAAATATGCTGACACAATTTCACCTGCATCAAGTTAAAAATGAAGCTTAACACTTTCCTTCCCTCAAAAAACTTTCTTATAATATTCTGTGAGTGTATTATCTTCACTAACATTTTGAAAGACCAGGGTGGAGTCATTTCATATTGTGCATAGATTTTACCCTTTCCCCTTCTATATTCCTTTCCTCTTCGAAAACCCCTTCCAAAACCCCCTTTCTGAAATAACCCTTCACATATATGTTGCTTCTGTTGGCTTGAGACCTCTGGAGGTTTCCATTTGACCTTAAGGGAGTTTGTTAAGAAATTTTGGGGGAGAATTATAATAGTTTAGGGTAGGAAACTTGACAGGTTTCCCAAAGAATATGCATTTCTTCACCTAGTTTATTATTAATAGTAATAAACATTTTTTTAAATAGTAAATACAGCCTATTTTAAAGGAAAAATGTAATATTGCTTCCTCCTATTGAAACTACTTCTGATTTCGATACTGCAAGCCATCTCTCCCATTTGTCTAGATTTATGTTACCTAAAAATGACATCTCTATCCTGCGGCTGCATGAACAGTTCTGTATCTCTGGGTATATGAGAGAGTGAATTCTTACCCTCTATCCCCTAACTTTGCAATTCGAGTTCATATTACTGAGCTCTCTTTGCTATACCCCACATCCAGTCACTGTCTCTTTCTCTCTCTCTCTTTAATTAAGATCCAGATTGAATGACAGCATTTGTGTAGCTATAATGATAAGTTTAAACTAGCAGAAAAGAAGAGCACCTTCATCCTTCTATCATTTGTCTTCCTCACTTCAATATTTAGATCCCTTTAGCACTCAGCTATGATGACCTCACAATGGAATCTGCTGCTCCCTGTTCTCTCTGCCATTGTCTTCTATCCCTCTGTTTTTCTCTCTCTTCCTGTAAGAGCACAACACCTACCTAAAATGCTATAATGTGTGCACATGCATGCACACACACGCGCATGCGTGTGCACACACACACACACCCCTACATACAAACACTGCCTCTGGCATTTTGCAGGCTTCGGGTGGCCTAGCCATGTAGCACATTATTCTAGGGTGTTAGTCTCTGTAGCCAGGTGAACATAGCTGGTTCTACATCCAAAGAGCTATTGCACCAAGATGTCAACATTTGATAAATAACAGAGATGGATTATTTTCCTTAACACTTTTATTCTTGGATTCATACTTCACTCTTGGAATCTAATCACCTATGTCTACTTGGGTTGCCAGATAATGGGCCCATGACAATAGTCCAGTCAGGATCCTCCCTTTCTGTTTTCTGAAGTGAACTTAATTTTTAATCTCATCACTTTTCCTAGCCTAATCAATTTGAGAAACATTTTTTTTTAAACACACGTGGACTAAATCATATACTATGTGCATGGGTTACTAGTCCTA
Organism: Homo sapiens; assembly: GCF_000001405.40. NCBI lineage: Eukaryota > Metazoa > Chordata > Mammalia > Primates > Hominidae > Homo > Homo sapiens. The sequence goes on from NC_000013.11 coordinate 90,859,332, forward strand.
AACTATAAAAGATTAAATAAAGGAGTAGGGATAGAGAACCTCTGGTCCAGGTATAAAAGCCCTGCATACAATCTCACCATAAGAGTGCCAGCTTCTTCTCTCCATATTTAGGCTGCAATTTGCAGAAGAGACACCAGACCACCAGAGATAGCACATTAATGACTAGAAGAAAGGGTCTGAATCTCATTTTATTTAAAAGGAGAGGTAGTTGGAATGTTCTAGTTGACTTTCAGCAAAACTAGAAGGAAAAGGTAAGACCTAAATGATATTTTGGGAAGGAAAGTATCCGTACACTATGAACTAGAACTATTCTTACAAGAGTCATATTCGGTCAAATCAACCTCAACAAGGATATGACTGAAAAGGAGAGAAAGATCCCCCGTTCTGTCACTTATCCCTTCCCCTTTCTATTCTTAGTAAGGGCGAAGAGAAATGTTAGGAAAATTTAAAAAGCAACTATATTCATATGGTGGTGAACCGTGTCTCGTGTTCTGATACTTATAGCTTTCATTCCCTTTTCACATCTCCAGATTCTCACTACGAATCCCTACCCTAAGCCCCTCTGAAAAGTCTCACTCTCTACTCACTCTCTAGTACTCCTCATTTTAGAACCTGGTTTTCTTTCTAAGGAATTAATGCCTCAAGGTTGTCTCCATTCCCATTATCTAATAGGTAGGAGGAAAGGAAACTCTACCTAGTTCCCTGTGGAACACGAATGTTGAGTGTTTAAAGTTAACGTTTTGAGGCAGTATCATCCTACATCTGATGCTGAGGTCATCCAATGTTTTTAGTGTAGTACATCCACCAGGTGTCATCTATGTAAAGTAAGCATGACACAGATAGAAAGATAACATGACCATTAGGAGACATGCTTATTTCCCTGAGTTTGAAATAATAGATTTATAAATAAACACAAGCATTTGGATGCTGGATTGTCTGATTTTTAAAATGGATGAATATGAAGAAAAAAATGCTTGATAGTGCAGGGTTTCTGGCAAATTTTATCACAATAGATGATAGTGTTTAGATTAGACTATTTCTGTTTAGAGTAATTCTGTCAATACAAACCTGAACACCTCTAATCGTTAGTCTTTCTACAATTGCAAATAATGTTTTCTCATTTGACTTTACAAATACAGTTGATGCCAACTGCCAGTGTTTCTGAGGATTTATTTATCCAGAAAGGAAGTACTTTGATTCATAAAACCAATTTATATTTTAATTACTAACTTGGCAGGACACTTGGTTAAATTGCCAGCACTATAGCAAATAATATCAATAATTTAAATTACTGAAAAAAATGGGAAGTCAGGAATTTCTCAAATCACCAATTATTTACTGGTTGTTTGTTTCAATTAAAATCATTAATAAAAAGTTCAAGTGCCATCAGAGCAGGCACAAAAAACATTATTTTCTTAAATAGTCTGGCATCCATCAGTGCCAACATTGTAGAGTAGAATTCAGTCTAAAAATAAAACAACTCCAGAGCATTTATGCTTGCTCTAGAGTAAGCAATGGAATAAGCAAGTGGAATTGGTGCAGGTAACAGGTTTGGGTTTTGACATAACCATTAACTAATTCACACATTGTCTGATCTTCCATTAGGTATCAGGCACTATGTGATGCAAAGAGAGTACACAAATATATTCATGACATAGTCATTTCTCTTGAGAAGCAAATGGCCAGTTTCAGGAGAAATATTCAATATAAGGTAATTATAATACTACGTGACAAGTTCAATAAAGGAAATGTGACAAAAGGATTGTGAGGCCATCAAGGAGTCTTGAGACCTCAATCTTGAGACCATGCCTGAATTGTGAGAATCTAGGAATGGTCAGAAAGGAAAACACTAGCCTTGAAGAATTAGTAGGAATAAGAGAAAGAGGAGCACATCACAAAAATAAATGAAAGCATAATCAAAGGAAAAAGGGTAAGGCATGGCATGAGTTATTGCTAAGCCCTCACACCATGGGCACTCTTCAACAATAGAGGGATATTAGGAATCCTAGGAAGATGTCAAAAGTTCTCTGTGGACCTATTATCAATCCACCAACTTTGTTTTTCTTTTGAGATTATTAAATGGCTGTCAAGTATCTCTGAATAACAAAAGAGGAGGAAATAGTTTCAAAAGAGTAGATTCATAGCCCATGGCCTTAATACAACTCTTAGGATGTTTTCTCCAGTTACTTGGAAGAGGACATGAAGCTGACTAATTTGCTAGAAGGATATCCAAATTATCTCTAACACGCAAACTTTGCATTAGTATCTTCAGCAAGAAAAGTTTTGAAGGATAAATTAAGTGCTTTTAAACAAGATCCATTCAAGATAAATATCTGGTAAGTAGAAAAATTACTTTTAGCCACGTCACCATCATAATCAAAATGAGAAAAGAATAGGAAGAGGAAGAGGAGAGGAGGAAAAGGAATAAGAAATATTAAAGTTTTACAATTTATAGTGTATACTTTTATATCTCATTTTATTATAGAAAATTCAGTAGGTGGACTTTTCAAATATAATCCCAAGATAGAATTGATGAGGAAATATAAGTTCAGAGACATTAAATAATTTGTCCAAGGTCATACAGATTTTTTAAAATGTCAGAAATAAGGCATCTATGAAAATCTCAACTGAATTATCTTCGATTTTCAAAGCCGCTTCTTCACAAACATTTGTTCCTTCAGCTGCAGCAAAGATGAGACAAATGGTGTCAAATGTTTACGTCACAGAGAAATGGCTCCACACACAAATCTTTCCATTTTTGTTTTCTCTAATGTAAATAATGTACACAAACCCTAAGAACACAAAAACAAAATCTTGAGTTAAATAAACCTGTATGGTTAGAAATGGACTCTCCAGTCCCCACCATCCTATATGTGTCCCGCTGCAATGCAGCCGGGTCCTGGCAACAGGGTAGGGTTAAGAGATAGAATATAGGCCCAGCAGGCCTGGGTTTGAACTTAAGCAAGTAAATTAAACACTCCACTTTCTCATCTGCAAGTGGGAATATGTATAAGACTATTCTTGTAGGTTTTCTGTGAAATATAAGTGTGTTACCTTATTTCAAGCTCTTAAAAAGAGTCCTTGCATTTGGTAAGTACTATGTGGACTGGTTTTTTATTATTGTTTTACTTTATTTCTAAATTCATCAATATAGGAAATAATTAATGCATTCATACAGCTAAACAGACTACAGAGACTATGGAAAAAGTGACTATAGAAGGTTTTACTAGTGAATTGCTTATTCCAATTATATCTTTTATAGATGCCAATATGAAAAATAACTACAAGTAGAATCGCTCTGGCTCAAGCAGACCAGATGTATTTTCCCCCAGAATGGCTCATCTTCAAGACACTTCTGAAGAACTTTCAGGGGCCTTGAATGTCAAAGATTGAAAACCATTACTCAAGACAAGACCAAGCCCTTTATTAAAATAAGAAAAGAAAAATAATTGATCGTCTCATAGAAATTAGTAAACTTGCCAAGCGTCACAGAACAAGTTAGAAGAACCTGTACCGTAGTTCCCCACTTATCCACGGGTTTTGCTTTCCATGGTTTCAGTTACCTTTGGTCATCCACAGTCCAAAAATAGGTGAATACAGTACTAGAATTCAGGTTTCCTTGTGCTCAGTCTAACATCCCCTTTCCCACAGCATCCTATAGGTGTCTACACAAACTCTGGTATAATAAGGTAGCCGTTATATATAGCAGAGGACTGATGAATGTAGACGTGTTACCACCTAAAGATGGATCCTGAGCCTGTATGTTTCCCTTCACTTCTATTAAATGTGGGAATTTAGTTATTATTACTAAAGCGACATTGTAAAAATAGGTGGAAAGGTTCACCCTTTTGGGGAAAAAAGCCATTACATAAATAATATTCTTCCTGTGAATAATATTACAAAATCAGTAAGTTAGAGATCATTCAGATGTTCCTCTAGCATATTGAAACTGCTCCATATAGACCATCTTTCAGTCACCTTTCTGATTTCTGAAGATAACTTTTTAAGAATTGGTCATGGTTTTGCAAACCCACTCTTCTGATTACCTTTATAAATTTTACCTTTATAAAAATTACCTTCATAAATTACAGGTATGAGCCACCTTGCCCAGCCTCCCAAAATCCACTTTAAAAGGAGGTTATGGAGAACAAAGAATTAATAAATGTTTTAGGTAAAGAATATGTTAATTACCCTGATTTAATCATTATACCATCTACAGATGTATGGAAATATCACATTCACCCTATAGGTATGTAAAATTATTATGTATAGATTTAAAAACAAGTAAATACATGAAGTGAAGTGATGGAGGCTTGCTTTGCAAGGCTGAACTCTACTGGGCCTCAGAAGAGGGAAAGTAGGACACATGCCTTTCTCTGCTTTTATGTGCAATTGCTTTCAGAACCACACACATTATGTCTATCGATAGTATGGAGCTAAAAAAGTTTTAGTGAGGAATTCATTTTTTCACAATGTTAATTCTCTTTCAAGTAGCAAATCACTATGATTTTTCAGCAGAACTATAAAAGAAGAAAAGAAACTCTCCATTATAATAGAAGAGAGAGTATAATGTAAAGATAATTTTTTGTTATTTTTCTTACTAACAAAGGTATAAACCAAGTCAAGATCTGATAGAAATTTGCTTCACTGCATAATCTATAGGCTCATAACTCTTTTATCATTACCTATTTGTTTAATATTCAATATGTGGGATCACAGTTATTTTCTTCCCTCGTTGCTACAGTTCCATATTTTCTAGTTATTTACCTGTTCTTAAAAAAAATGACTTTGTCTAGTGACAATGAATGTCAGCATAGTTTTTCCTCAATTATAAGTAGAGACAATGTGCTCTTTTTCTGTTTCAGCACTTTGCAGGGAAATCTAACTGTTAAAAGTAAGATAACCTATCAAATTTTCAACTCATAGAGGAGAGGTTAGAGATACTTAAAAAAAAGAAGTACTTCAAAAATTATCAAAATTCCTGAATTATATTCTCTGTACACAACAGAGCTGAATGGCTTTTCCTGAACAATAGGTTGACCTATGTGTTCTAGTCCCCATTTGTAATGCTATCAGAAACATATACATGTGTTTTGTTTTCTATTGATTTGTTCCTCTTATCAAGAAAAGATTTATGCCTTGTTTTCTAAACAGCCTTGAAATACAAAGAGTTTTTTCGTTCCAGATATTTCAATAGCACCTTATTTCAACCAAATGTCTTGGTTTCTTTAAGCTCATCACTAATGTCAGTGCTTTTCAATGTCTTTCTGTTTATTTAATTTGTTTAATTTCCATTAAATAAATGAAACAAATCAGCATATATCCACAAGCCAGAGACTTAAAAAAAATCAGTCTAAACCTTAAGAAATAGGGCAACAAGCTAAAAAGAATGAGGAAGATCGTGATGTATAAACTGCTTCTGTATGGTCTCCCAAGGGTTGTTAGCGAATTGTGTGGAAGGTTGAATGTTCTTCTATTTTGAAAATGTTTTTATAATGTTTATTTTCTATAAAAACATGAAAATGTTAAATAAACATATTTATAATTTGGCTTTATCAGAGTATACTAGGAAAACATTGATGTTCCAATTTAGGATACCAACCACATTTTCCTCTCTATGGGAGTAGCACGTTCCTTTCATATATATATATATATACACACACACACACACACACGCACACACACACGTGTATATATATACGTATTATATATATATTATATATATTTAACATATCTATATTTAAAGAGAGATGATGTGTCAGGGTTGTTCAGAGAAACAATAAGATGTAGAAAGAAATTTATTATAAGGAATTGACTCATATGATTATGCAGGCTGGCAAGTCCCAAGATCTGCTGGGTGAGTTAGAAAGCTGGAAACCCACAAGTGCCTATGGCTTAGTTTCAGTCCAAAGCAGGAAATAAGCTGATATCGCACTTTGAAGGCCTTCAGGTGTTACTAGGTAGAACTTATGCCATGTTGTTCTATTTAGGCCTTCAGCTGATTGAATGAGGTCCACCCACATTAGAAAGGGCAATCTCCTCTACTTAGTCTGCTGATTCAAATATTAAACACTCAGAATTATATTCGAATAAATACCTGGACATCCCATGGCTCAGACAAGTTGACACAGAAAACTTAACTGATACAATGTAAAAAACATTAATAAATTAGAAGCAGAGGATCTTAGTGCATCCTTGTTCTCTTTTCGAGGGTATCTCTCTCTGTGGAGGGTTGTTGTTGTGGTCGTTGCACCTTCACCAACACTTACTGCAGTGACATGCAGGGGTTGAAGGTGTGGATGCAGTGGCTGAGAGAATGTGGAATCACAAAAGCAGGGTTTGCCACTGAACTTTAAAGAACTAAAGTTTAGTTCTTTAAGAAGTACAGTAAAACTTACGTATCCTGAGGCTCATAGTCTTTCTTGCTGAATTAAATAGAGCAAAGTTTTGAGGCAGATTTTTTTATTGTATGTTTTTTTCTAAGTGATTCTGGTAATGAAAATATTACAGTTATAGGGCAAATAAACATTTAAACTGAAAACAAGCAGATGGGAAAGACCTCTACTTATTCTACCCCACGAGAGATTACTACTTATTCCCAAAGCTATGATCAACATGAAATATGGGATTGGAGAGACTCTTCCAATATAATTAGTGGTGCTCACAAAAGAATCACAACCTCCAAAAGAGAGAAATATAGATAATAATCATGAATTCATCATTTCTATTGATCTCTCATATAAGCAAAAAGGTTCTAATGTAATTTTCAAGGCATGATTCCACACGGCCATAGTATCTCTTTTTCACAAGCTTGAAGTATCAATTTCTAAAATGTTGAACACCCAAGGAACTGCATTAGCAGGAGTAGAAGAGTCCAGACCAGGGTTTGGCAAGCCACTGCTAGTAGGCTAGCCAGCTGTTTTTGTAAAAGAAGTTTTACTGGAACAGAACGATGCATTTTCTTATATTGGCTATGCTAGTTTCTCATGAAGACTGCAGTTGGATAGCTGCTATACAATCTGTATGGCCAACAAACTCAAAAATATTCACTCTCTGAGTCTTAAAAGGAAATGTGTTAGGGATGCAAATTATTAAACAAGTAATTTTTGAATGTTTACTATAAACTAGGTGCTAGAGATACAAAAATGGGGAAAGAAAAAGACAAAGATCCTTGACGTTTTAGAGCTTACCTTCCATGGTCAGCTCATATCTATCATTCCAAAAGTTCAATATCCCCCAACACCCCTCTTTTTGTTCAGCTTTACTGAGGTATAATTGACAAGTAGTAATTGTGTATATCTAAGATCTACAACTTGACCTTTTGATAAACATATACATTGTGAAATGATCCCACAATCGAGCAAATTAACATATCTGTCACTTGCACGGTTACTGTGTGTGTGTGTGTGTGTGGTGAGAACACTTCAGATCTAAGCATATGTCAAGTACACAATACTGTATTGTTAGCTACAGTCACCACTCTGTGTACATTAGATCTCCAGAGCTGATTCATCTTGCACAACTGAAACTTTGTACTCTTCGACAAACAGCTCCCCACTTCCCTTTCCGCCAGTCTTAGCAACCATTCTTCTACCCTGTTTCTATCCTTCCCCCCTTTTAAAAACATTTCAGTGATTTTAGTGTTGCTCTTGGTAACACAAAACTTCCCATCAGGCTGGACGCGGTGGCTCACGCCTGTAATCCCAGGACTTTGGGAGGCCGAGGCAGGTGGATCACCTGAGGTCAGTTTGAGACCACCCTGGCCAACATGGCGAAACCACACCTCTACTAAAAATACAAAAATTAGCTGGGCATGGTGGCCGGCCCCTGTAATCCCAGCTACTCGGGAGACAGGAGAATTGCTTGAACAGGGACTGGGAGGCGGAGGTTGCAGTGAGCCAAGACGGTGCCACTGCACTCCAACCTGGGTGACAGGGCTAGACTCCATCCTAAAACAAAAACAAAAACCTTCCCATCATGTGTTTTATTCCTCCTGTGAATTGGTTGCTACTCATGGAATCTTGTGAGACTTGAAAGCCTATAGCAGTGTTTTCTGAGAAATTTCTTTGTTAAGAAAAGAGAGACTAATCAGAGGTGTGATGTCAGCTTTACAACAAAAAAGACTTGTGCACCACCTAGAGGCCGAACTGGGCGTCGGGATTAATCAGTCCTCCATTGTTGACAGGGGAAATAATGGTGCTCAAAGGCCTGAAATGGAAGCTAATGGTCACACCCACTGCACGGTATGAGGAAGGATGATATAAGAGGATGTGCAAATATTATGAAGCACATCAACTGGTACAAGGCAAAAGAAGCAACAAGTATTTGCCTTAAAAAAGGTCAAATAATGCATTATATTCAGATATATTTAAACCTGAGGTAAATTCAGTCTTCTTTTCTGGCTTATCAAGATGCAAAACCCCCTGTATTATTCAGCACCTCCATCATTTTGCTGTATGATTGTTTCTGTTTCACTCTCCACTTGGAAACTGTGAGCTGCTTGGGATATCAGAGAAGTTTAAAAACTTCTCTGGTTTTCAAAGCAGTATTTGCGATGAAACCAGCACTCAAATATTTTTCTGAACCAAACAGAATAAACAGTGGCATTCCTGAAAAAGTAACTAACAGATGCTTAGTTGACTAGATATTTTCAAATGCTTTCAAATCTTATTTTATTGAAGGAATAAATAGGATTATTTTTCTTTTTTAAAAAAGATGTTATAAAAATGTTTTTATAAACCAAAAGTCTAGTTTTGTGTGCTATGTGGCTGCCCATTTGAAATAGCATTTGTCATTTGGAAATCCTGAAGGTCTTACAGATCTTAACCATTGTAATTATGTTATTTGTCTTGCAGTGTTTAGGCAATCAGTGATATAGTTGGTTTTGCACAACTTAGAGAAGCACAACTTTGTCATACTTGACTACCAAGATAACATTCAGTGAAGAAAGTTTTTCACTAAGGAAAATGACATGCCCCAGAGAGTGTGGAGGCTGTACTTCTTTCTTTCAGGTTAATGTGACCCATTAATATATTTCAGAGTTTCTGGTGCATTTAAAATTGGTTTATTAAATTCTTTTGCAAAGATAAAAAATCTTCCAAAGTGTCATAATCCATTTTAAGGGAAAATTCTGAAAATTAGAGCAAGGGAGCCCCCTTGTGGACTGACTCTGATGCCATGTACAATGAATTATCAGTTAAATCAATGATTTCATCAATATTTATGAGATAATTTTAATAGTAAAATAGCAATACAGTTGACCATTGAACAATGCAGGGATTGGGGTGCCACTCTTATGCAGTAAAAAATCTGTATATATCTTCTGAGTTCCCCAAAACTTAGAACTAATAGCCCACTGTTGACCAGAAGATTTACTGGTCAATTTAACAAATACATAGTCAATTTAACAAATAAACTAGTATCTACGTATATTTTATGCATTAATGACATACCTAACTTTCTCTTAATTTTCTGACTTTTTAGGTTATGCAGTTCATCTGCGTGTTTTCTCAAATTGTCACAAATCTCCAAAAAATTTCCAATATATTTATTGAAAAAACTGCATATAAGTGGACCCATGCTGATCAAACCCATGTTGTTCAAGGGTAATTTATCTTCAGATGAACTTTATCAGAAATGAATTACAAATTATATTTTATTTGCAATATATTTATATGAGTATACTCAATATAATACGAAGTAATTCCTAAAACCTGCCTGGATGAATCCTGAACTTGGAAAAAACAAACTGTCCTAGCCTTAAGTGATTACTCCAATAAAGCAGCCCAAAGGATTGATTCTAGAATCAATGGCTGCTCATTCAAGAACTCAAAAATATAGTTGGCATTGGAAACCAAATATGTTTCTTTGCACGATGCTGAGTTTAAGCAAAGGTAGGTGAATTTATTGATGACTATAGTTTGTTTAACAAAACCAGTTATTTAAAAATGCAACTGCTTATATTTCTATCCAGAAAGCTGCTCTAAAGGATACATAAAAAATATATTCCCTTATCTTAGTAAAACTTTTCTCATCTGGAAAGTTGAGAATGAAAGAAAAGAAATGTATAACTAGATTTATGAGCAGTGACACAGAAACAAATGCATTTCCTTTAGGCTAAGCTCCTCTATCTCACATCTCAGCTGCAGATCTTAAAAACAAACTTCTTTTAAAAGTCTGGTTTTATATTTCTTCATCTATCTATTTTCCCCATGTGCTATATTTGGACTGGAGAATAAAAATCAGTAAAAGTAAATAGTTACAAAAATTGTAGTTATTAAGTTATTAATTTTTTACATTTTAAGTACCAGTAAAAAATCGTTTTTTAACTTTTTTTGTTTTTTTATGACAGGGTTTGCTCTGTCACCCAGGCTGGAGTTCAGTGGCACAATCTTGGCTCACTGCATCCCCGACCTCCTGAAGCTCAAGCAGTCCTCCCACCTCAGCCTCTTGAGTAGCTGAGACCACAGGTGTCTGCCACTATGCTCAGCTAGTTTTTGCATTTTTTGTAGAGACCAGGTTTCACCATGTTACCCAGGCTGATCTTGAACTCCTGGGCTCAAGCAATCTGCCCACCTCACCCTTCCAAAATACTAGGATTACAGGCATGAGTTACCTCTTCCAGCTAGTAAACAATCTTTATACACACTTAAAAACAAGAGGCCTGCATGCTCTAGTAATAGTTTATAAATTTATTGAATTCTTATTGCATTGGAAAATTGCCCAGATGTTAGTGGGCAGAAATAGAATATATGATTTATTCCATTTGAATGCAACTCCCGATCTCTATTACAAACCTCCTTTGATATTTTATTTCCTCAGGAAACTGCACTAGCTTTCTGTGGGGTTTTATTTGAAACTTGTGATTGACATATAATAATTGTACGTATTTATGGGGTACAACATGATGTTTTGATACATATAAATTATATAATTATCAAATCAGTGTAACTAGCATATCAATTCCCTTGAACATTTATAATGTATTTGTGATGAGAACATTCAGTAACCTCTCTTCTAGCTATTTTGAAATGTACAATATATTGTTGTTAATGCCAGTTATTTTACTATGCAGTAGAACACCAGAATTTATTTTTCTTAACTAACTGTAACTTTGTACCCATTTACCAATCTTTCACCATCCCACCTTCCCTTGTCCTTCCCCTTCTTCTGTTAACCACGATTCTACTCTCTACTTCTATGAGAACAACTTTTTAGATTCCGTATGTGAATGAGATCATGCAGTATTTGTCCTCTGTGCCTGGCTTATTTCACTTAACATGACGTCTCCCAAGTTTTTGCATGTTGCTGCGAATAACAAGATTTCATTTTTTTGTATGGATGAATAGTACTCCATTATGTATATATACCATATTTTCTGTATCCATTTATTCATTGATGGACATTTAGGTTGATTTCATATCATGGCTATTATGAATAATGCTGTAATAAACATGAATATAGATATCTCATTGACAAACTGATTTTATTTAATTTAGATGAATAGCCAGTAGTGGAGTTGCTGGATCATATAGTAGTTCTGTTTTTTTTCTGAGTTTTTGATAATGGCTGTACTAATTTACATTCCTACCAGCAGTGTGTAAGGGTTCCCTTTTCTCCAGATCCTTGCTAGCGCTTGTTTGTGTACCTTTTGATTTTTTGATAGTAGCCATTCTGACTGTAGTGAGGAGATATCTCGTGGTAGTTTTGATTTGCATTTTGCTAATAATTAGTGTTGAGAACTTTTTCATATGCCTCTTGGCCATTTGTATGTCTTCTTTTTTTTGGAAGAAGTAATATTGTTTAAAATATTCATAATATACAAAGCAAGCTACAGATTCAATGCAATTCCTATCTAAATACCAATGGCATTCTTGATAGACATAAAAAAAAATCCTAAAACTCATATGGAACCACAAAGCCCATGAATAGACAAAGAAATCCTGAGCAAAAGAAAAAAGGTGGTGGCATCATACTTCTGACTTCAAAACATACTACAAAGTTTTAGTAACCAAAACAGCATGCTACTGGCATAAAAAGTAGACATATAGGCCAGTGGAACAAAATAGGAAATCCAGAAATAAACCAATACATCTACAACCAGTGGATATTTGACAAGTGTGCCAAGTACACACGATGCAGAAAGGGCAATCTCTTCAATAAATGGTGCTGAGAAAACTGGATATACACAGGCAGAACAAGAAAACTAGACCCTATCCTATCTCCTACTGTATGCAAAAAGTAACTCATAATGGATTGAAGACTTAAATGTGAGACCCAAAACTATGAAATCACTAGAAGAAAACATAGCGAAAAGCTTCATGACATTGGTCTACATAAGGATTTTTTTTTTAGATAAAACCTTAAAAGCACAGGCAACCAAAGTAAATATAGATAAATGACATTACGTCAAACAAAAAAGCTTTTAAATGGTAAAGGAAACAACAGAGCAAAGAGACAACCTGCAGAATAGGAGAATATTTTTTGTAAACTGCATCTGATAAGGGTTTAATATCCAAAACATATAAGGAACTCAAACAACATAACAACAGAAGAACTAAGAACCCTGTTTTAAAATGGGCAATAGTTGCCTGTGGTTTTTTACAGGTACAAAAATGTGCTGTTTAAAGCCACACAAATCCTCTGTGCACTACAATATTGTTATAATTTATTTCTGTTGTGAATTGATTTCTTTTTTCAGAAAAATATTTCCATGAGGGGAAGGAGATAATATAGTAGTGACAGAGTGACAGCTAAACTGTTCCGCATATGGAATTAATCTAAATTCAGAAGTTTGAAAGCATTTGAGGAGCTGGGAGATACAAGCAGAGTACTGAGGCTAGGAAGTAGATGCAATCAATCTGTAGCAGATAGGGGAAATGCCTCTTAATATAAAATTCCTGGCTGTGGGGATGGATGGCCCAATACTCTTACACACAATGGTGTCTAATTTTAATTAGTTATTTTTATTGTGTGATGGGCCACTTTTCCTACCATTAAACAAACCCCTGCAAAAGTTACCAAATCAAAAACGTTTTGTGGGAAAGTTGTATTGAAGAAAGCATGGAAAATGAGCTGTTATACATGTAGTTCAGGGCAGAAAAGGACTCAGCAATGGGAAATCCAATGCGACAGACCAAAAATCCAAAAGCAGTGAGAAATCCAATCCAAATATGACTATCAGAACATAAGCATTCAAAGAAATTGTGGAGGATATACTGACTTCCTATAAGACATGGATACTTGGACAGGATAATCCGAGATGATAGTTGCACTCCACAGTTATTGCAAATTCCTGTAAGCTAGACTTGCCACAGCCTTATAATTTCTTTACCTACACTTCTCTCTCGTTACCAAGCAAACATTACTTTAACCCACTAACTTAAAATGTGTCAGTGGCTTAAAATCACTCTTGAGATAGAGCCTCTGAATACACCTCTAGCTCCTTCACAACTGTGTCTCTGTAGTCTAGTCACTTTAACCTCTCAAGTTCTCTGTTGTGCAAATTCCTTCACACCTCAGAACCATGGTCTGTGCTATTATTCGAATACCATCAGCTTTTGTTATCTGATGCTTTTAAGCCTTTTCCTTACGCATCTCAGCTTTCTTTCCAGATGACAGGAAACTTACTAAGAGCAAGGCATGTATTTCATAATTGGGCAAGTTTTCAGTAATAGATCCATTTATTCCTTGTGTCTCTGGCCTGTTAAAGGATAAATTCATTTCATGTATGCTCTCTCTCATTTTCTTTTCTTTTCTTTTCTTTTTTTTTTTGACAGAATCTCGCTCTGTCACCAAGACTGGAATACAGTGGTATGATCATGGCTCACTGCAGCCTTGAACTCATGGGCTCAAGTGATCACACCATCTATTTTTTTTTCCAACTTTTTGTAGACACTGGAGTCTCTCTATTTGACACAAGCTAGTCTTCAACTTCTGGGCTCAAGTAATCCTCCCACCTCAGCCTCCCAAAGCGCTGGTATTACAGATGTGAGCCACGATGTCCAGCTGTCTCTCTAATTTTAACAACATGAACAGAAGAGAAAAAAATAAATCTTCTGAAGGACTATCACTTAGCATGTTTCTCTGGTGCTGCCACAACTTCTATATCTGCCTAGGAAAACAATATCACAGATGTCTTTACCTTACCAAGTGTTCCTTGTGAGATTGTTTTTCTTCCTCTCCATCCATGATTCAGGGTCCCAGGAGGCAGTAGTTTGTTCAGAAGCCCCATTTCATGAAGCCAATTCAATCTACCGTGAATTGATAGATTGCCTCCTTTTAAACAATTTTTGAGACTAATTCCATCATGCCTTTTTGCTATGCATATCTGACTTCCAGAAGCCCAAAATTCCCAGAGCATCTGTTGTATTTTACCACTTTACTCTTCTGTGTATTTCTAACCTGAGCTCTGTAAAACTTTTCCACTGTTCTCTCTGAAACTCCTGTGGAACCACCACCAAGTCCCTATAATTTTCCTTCAAATACGTTTTAGTTTTTCTACCACCTTTTTACCTTAACTGAAACCTAGCTCCCATGAGAATACCTTTTCCCTGCAGCCCTCTTGGGTGGAGCTGTGTTCATGCTTATACCCAAAATTGAGTTATGGCTTTAAGGATATATTTAGTAAACATTACAATGAAATGGAGGATATTGATTAGTATGGCCTCCAGGTGTCTTAAATATTTTCAGCATCTCTGATTTTTTAATGCCCCAAACACCAAATAAAATCAATGTGGACCCATAGTTGTTGTTGTTGGTTTTTTTTTCCCTCAGCTTCCTATGGTATGAAAAGGGAAGAAGATGTTAAATGCCTCCCAATCAATAATGCAATCTCTTAATTTCTCTTCTACTCCACAATTCTTTCTAAATTGAGTAGTGTTTTTGATGAGGTCTGGCATCTAGAAGATGATGAATTTTTAGAGTAATATGTTTTTCTCCTCAAGTGGATAAAATTCAAGCAATAACCTCAATAATTCCCCTTTTGGCGTCCCAATACAGACTAGGGAAGAATAGCTTCCTTCACATTGGCACTGACTATACAAAATAAGCAGTGGTTTCCACTTCAGATATAAAAAGGACACACTTACATGGCGCACCAAACACAACCATAGCAAAAGGTCAGAGGAGTTAACACCTGAAAAACTTAAGCAGCTAGCCATTATTCAGAAGAAGATTGAAATGTACATGAAAACCAAAGAGGGATTATTAAAGAAATGAAATAATTAAGAAACACACCTATAGCAGCTGTCAGCACCGAGAATGACAGGTTAGCATGAAAGGTAGTTTGAAAACTGTAAGTTTGAGTAGGTAGTTAGGTAATATTAAATACCTGCAACCTTCAAATTTGTTTAATTTTGCATCACCAGTTCTTAATTGAAAACTGGTTTCTGAGAGAATACTGTTTCCTTGCAGCCCCCTTAGGTGGAAGCTAGACTTTCTTCTTACCTCTGTATGTCGGAACTTGAGGGTGGGAATATTGTCGTGCTTGGTCCTACTATGACTTCCAATCTTTTTTTTTGTCCTTTATATCAGTGGACCCCAACCTTTTAGGCACCAGGGACCAATTTCATGGAAGACAATTTTCCACAGACCAGTGGAGATTTGGTGGGGAATGGTTTTGGGATGAAACTATTCCACCTCAGATCATCATTAGTAAAATTCGTATTGGGACCACTCAACCTGCATCCCTCACATGCGCAGTTCATAATAGGGTTCGAGCCCCTATGAGAATCTAATGGCACCGCTGATCTGACAGTAGGCCAAGCTCAGTTGGTAATGCTGTCTGTCAGGCTGCTTACTTTCTGCTGTGTGGCCCTGTTCCTAACAGGCCCAGTGATGGGGACCCATGCTTTAAATTACAAATTGTCTTAAAGGACTTACTTTGGCTATAGCTCCCTGAAGCAATAATTAACAGACCTCCCATTAATTCTTCTCTATTTGTTGAAAACATTAACTCCTCTTCATTCCTTTCTTTCTACCCATACTCATATCATCATTCTTGATAATATCAACAGGTGGGAAAAATTCAACAAATAATAATATCCAACACTTTTATAGTGCTTATAGACACAGTTCTAAGAAGTTTATATAGTTAAACTCATTTGATTGATACAAAAACCCTGTACAGTAGGATCTATTATCTCCATTATACAAACAAAAGAACTGGGACACAGAGACATTCAGCAACTCACTGGGTTCCTTCAATAACAGGAAAAGGCAGGATTTGAACCCAAGGATCTGGCCCCAGAGTTTGTGCACTTAGACATTAACAACCAGTTGATGGTCACAGCTATTACTATTTGAATATAGTTGTCATACTTGCACACTTAGTCCCTCCAGGCAAAATAACATTTCCTTTTCCTGTATCCTGCAAATTTAAGAATCCTCATATTTTGATTATTTCCATTTTAGATACTCAGTGCTTTCAATCTCCAAAAAATAAACTGTGCTATTTCCAGTGTGATAGAATCAAAGCAAACTAGAATAAGGCAAATTTATCTGCCAATATGGACACTAATAATTACATTTACATAGCCTTAGCTTACATGAAATTTTAACATCCATAGTGAAATAGATGTAGGAATGCAAAGTACAGATTGCATTGAAGATAATATACCAAATTTGAGATATAACTCCCTAAATATTTGTTTAAGCTATGTCATAAATTTGCCTGTGTGATTTTTACTAGCCAGAATAAAGGGGTAATCAAAATATGCTACATCATTCACAGGTTCATAAGATTAAAGCAACTCATTTTCTCAGGGGAGGCACAACCTTCAGTGAAAATGAGATGAGAAAGATGTTTCCCCAATGGTTCCAATTAAGAAAACACTCTGGAATATCATAAACAACCACCTTAACAGCAAAAATGCACAAGCAAAGCACAGAGACTCATGGAGATCGTTTCTTAAAATATCCCCCCAAATATAGGGCAATGGGCTTGCACCAATGTGCAAATGAATAAAGTTCTCTAAGGGACTAATACAGTGTAGTTTTTTAAAATCCTTTTGTTAATTAAATTGGTTTTATTAATTAAATGTATTTACAATTCTCAGGTCATAGTAAAACTCATGTTCATTTTTTTGAATTCAATATACCCTAGATATATTTCTCTCTCCATATATTCATTTCTGAAATCTAGATTTTTGTGTGTTACATGAAAGACTAAAAAAGATTACTTCCAATTTTCAGAAGACAAATAATTTTTGCGAGTCAGATAATGATTCTATTTCATTAAATAGTGGATAAAATAAGAGAGTTAAAGTCATAGTACTATGTTTAAATAACAATGCACTACATTATAATTAAGACACTGGTCAGAGACCAAACTGGCTACGCTTAAACCCAAACTCTGACTGTTAATAGCTGAGTGAGTTTGGGCAGGTTTTCTTCTGTCTGTCCCAATTTCCCCATTTACAAAACTGGGATAATATTAGTACATAATTTTATAGGAGTCATAAAAATTAAATGAGTTATGATATGTAAGGCACTTGGTATAGTAGCTAGCAGAAGGAAAACTCAGTCAATATTAGTTTGCAATGATAATGATGATAATTTTCATGAACAAGTTACCTCGTTTTCCTAAATTTTTCCATTTTCTCATTAGTATAATGGAGATAATACTACTCACATATAGACTTTTTTAAAAAATAAAAATTATAATAAATTACAATATAGAAGATGGCATATTAACAGTGTGTATGTAGTTCACTCCCTGGTACATAAGAAGCTATTATTACTGTTATTGTTATTCATTTTCAACAAATTTTATAGCCTAATATTAACAAAGCACTTCGCTAGTTCTAGAGCAAAGCAGGACATGAATCTTGGAGGATATTTTTTCCAACTGATCTGTGGAGGAGGGCAGATAAGCAGGACTAGCAGAATTCTAGCAGCATGTAAAATATTGGATGCTGGAAATAAACATCTGGGCTTTGCTTCTTATCTGGTCCTCAGGTGATTGCAGCTCAGAGTAAGGAAACATAACATGGTCCTTCCCTAGGGTGTAGAGGCAGCTTTACTCTACAAGTCCAGTCAACTGGCTGTCTTGAGCATGCACGGGATGGTGTGGTCGGTCCACTACCTGTTCTGGTGCGATCAAGGCTCGGGTTCTAATGCAGGGAAGGGAGGGGTAGGTGGGGCAGAGTTCTTTTCTACCAGGACAAGCCATTTGAACAAAGCAGAGTCCTCTTGGACTTGCCTCTGACTGAGTGGCTGGATGATCCAGAACTTCTGTTGACCACATTTACCCAGATTTTAAATCTCATCTGAGGCTCATTTGTGAAACATGAAGGAGTTTAAAAGCAACTGAATGTAGGATGTTGGCACATGCATGCATGCATTTGTGTGTGCCTGTGTGTGTTCATGTACTTTTGAAAATGAAGTGCAGTTGGGAAGAGAATCTGGAGACAAGAGAGGTGGACTCTGGTGTCAGCATCCTACTTACATGCCACGCAGAAGAAATCAGTTTGAGGATGTAGCCTCTTGTTCCCAAGAATAACTGTATTTGGATCATCAGGGGATTCTAATTTTAAAATGACTATGGCCAGGCTCTAACAGTAAAGATTAGGAAGCAGCTTGGTCGTCAAGAGTTTTTTTTTTTTAATTTGTTTTGTTTTCCATGTCTAATATGTAGGCAGTGTTGAAAATCAATGCTTCAGGCAACGAGATGCTGCATAAAGATAATAATTAGGAAGTAACATGATGTAATTTGCCTTTTTAGAAATATCTGTCAGCAGTGTAGATTAGAAGGGGCACAACTGAACACAGCAGAATACAATTTATTAGAAACATCAAGTTGTTAGAAAACAATCTAAAACCAACAACCAGAAAACAGTTAATTGAGAGGAAATATACCTCCCACTCCATTTCTGTGTTATTCTTCATTGACTGGATAAATTGAATTGCTCACATGTCAAAGAAGACAGTTTATTTGTGTTTTGAATTATGTGACTCCTAAGGTCTCAACACACTATGATACACAGTGAATTTTAGTTCCTAGATATAGATATATGTGTGTTTCCTGTTGAACATTAGATGCTACATGTGCATTAAGTTTTATGTACTTAGATTTCCACACAATATATAAAATTATATTTTCATTCTTTTGAAACTGTTTATATGTTTATTAACTAACCACAGGAAACACATTTTTTAAATCACAAGTAGCAAGAAGGATATCTATTTAGATGGAACTTGAACATGATATTGTTGAATTATGGTATATTGAAAGGGTTTGGGAATTATATGGAGAGAAAGTTCCAGCACTAGCTTAATTATGGGAGGGTATTATTTAAAATACCCATTATCTAAAGCCATACCTACTTTGCTACATAAATTAAGTATATACTTATTAACGTTTGGAAAGGGTATCTTTTCTTAATTTTTATTCTTTCCTGACCTAGCATTGAGAACTGAAAATTTACCATTCATTCATTTGGATGAAAGACCTGTTCCAAATTCAATTGAATAAAATGTCAAAAAAGGAAGTGTGTTAGATACTAAAACCCTATTATTAACTGATTATGTATAAAATTACAACTAAAAGCAAGTAGGTCACTTTATGGGTTACACATTCAAGAGCTAAGTTTAAATGCACAAAGGGAAAGGTTAGAGAGGGCTATTAAAATAAACAATAAATAATTGCAGGGAACACCTTGAGAGCAAAGAGAAAGGTGAGGCTAAAAGAGAAAAGGAAATTAAAACCGAATTAAGAGGGTTCTAAAACCAAATGAGAGTTGTGAAGTTTTAGAAGTAGAAAAAACATTAGGGATTTTCTACACAGTTAGTACAATTAGTCGGAATCAGCCGTGGGACTCGGACTTACAGCCTTCTCCATCCAAATTCAAAGGTATTTTCTACTCCTTGTTGCCGCCTTTCCTGTATATAAAATACTTTTTCTTGAAATATATGAACTCTCTCTCCCCTGACCCCCTGGGCTTGTTTCAGGTCAATATTGGTTATAAAGCTTTGAATTTTAGCAGAAAAAAATTTCAGGGCTTCTCTGTCAAATAGATTCATGCCCAAACAACAAAAATGTGATGATCCAGTCTGTATAATAGGAAAAACTATTCTACCTCAAGATTTCCATCTTTGCCTATAAAGTAGGCATTCCCTCCCTTCAGAATTACAGGGTGCTGGTGAGAAGGAGCTTCTCTTTTCAGAGCATCTCACCTCTGTCTGCACATAACTGCTACCATTTAAGAAGTGCTTAAAAATACCAAAGTTGGTTATGCTCCCAAATATTCTGATTTAAGTGTTGAACCACGGTTGAAAACCATTACATGGGTGCACTTGAGAGAACAGATAGATAAGTCCCTCTGTCTATTCACCTGCACACAATCTTCTCTTCCCATCTTGGGCTGAATGATCAAAATCAGCCCTTGTCTATCCTAAGAGCCTCTTATCCTAAGAGAAAAATATTTTGTATAATTGCTAAATAAGAAGTCATTGTGTTTAACAATAGTTCATGTTCTTTAAGTTTTTATATCTAAGTCAAATATAAATGGGATTTCAGTCAGAAATAAGAATATAATCTTTATCTTATATCAAATTTATATATTATTTATACTAACAGAACTTAAAGCCATCTCTTTAAAAAAAAGTGAAAATATATAAATGTAGGACTACAGTAGTATCTATATCTTCTCTCTCTCTATATATATATATATAGAGAGAGAGGAAATGTCTTATTTCTCAATTAATAGCATATAAATGCATATTAGTATATTTAAGTTGTGCCTTCCAAAAACACTTGTTTGCCAAATAATCAAAATGAGCAAGGATATTATAACTAGCAAGAAATTATATAGAGAGCATTCAGAAATGGAAATTTGAATAAACCTATGTGTTGGTTTCCTTAAATAAATCAACAATTCATTTTTAATCATTGTTTGAGTAAGGTAGCCATTAAATTTTCTTAAACTTGACTATATTTATTCAGATTAATTTTACTTTTTCACTTATGTTTCAGTTAAACCCATAAACCATACCCAGAATATTTTATCAACAAGGCATCCTGAATAATTCATACTGGATAATAAAAGGGTAAGTTTATATCTTCATACACACATACACACACACACACAACACAACACAACACACATGCGCGCATAACATACATAGTCTATTCAGTAAATACAGTTTGTAGATTTACGATCAATTTGAATGTGCTTGCATTTCCATGGATACATAGCCATCTATTGTTCTAGAAAAATGGCAAATGATGCATATATGGTACATATAAATGTGTGTGTGCTTATTGCATACATCCAAGCTGTGACTAGCAATGGTTTTAAATGGAGAATAAAGCATGCAAGACTTTAGTTCAGGAATTCTTCTTTATTTTGGAAATAACATTAATAAAAGAAAAGTGTCCTGGTTGTTGTCTTTTTCACTTTTGTAGTCACTGCACACTGACAATTTCGAGTATATGTTTTATCATTCCTACAATATCAGGTCAATCCATGTCTCAACAGTATCTCAACCTTCAATGTCTTGCTGGAGTGCAGTGGCTATTCACAGGTCCAATCATCGCACAGCCTCAAACTCCTGGGCTCAATTTGTCCTCCTGCTTCAGTTCCCTGAGTAGTTGAGACTACAGGCACACGCCATTTCTTGAAGTGGAATGGGTGTGCTCTAGCAAAACAGAGACTGCGATCTTCAACGTCTTCTGTCCTTCGGCTCCAGCAAAGTCTCCCCTCATGTGCTGCCTCCTTCTCTGCTCTTCTTGATTCAATCAAGGACCCAGATTGCTTTCTGCCTTGCCAGTCAAAAGTCCTCAACAAGTGGCCATATGAGCCTACCTTCCACAAATCCACAAATATTATTGATATAGTTTGAATGTCCCCTCCAAATCTCATGTTGAGATGTAATCCCCAGTGTTGGATGTGGGGCCTGGTGGGACGTGTTTTGGTCATGGGGGCAGATTTCTTATAAATGGTTTTGAATCATACCCTTGGTGCTGTCCTTGTGATAGTGAGTAAGTGCTCATGAGATCTGGTTGTTTAAAAGGGTGTGGCGGGAGGGGAACATCACACACTGGGGCCTGTCAGGGGGTGAGGGGGCTATGGGAGGGATAGCATTAGGAGAAATACCTAATGTAGATGACGGGTTGATGGGTGCAGCAAACCACCACGGCACGTGTATACCTATGTAACAAACCTGCACTTTCTGCACATGTACCCCAGAACTTAAAGTATAATTTTAAAAAAGTGTGTGGCATCTTCCCCGTCACTCTCTCTTGCTCCTGCTCTAGCCATGTGACTGCTCCTGCTTCACCATCCAGCACAAGTAAAAACTTCCCGAGGCCTCCCCAGAAACTGAGCAGATGCCAATGCCATGCTTCCTGTATATCCTGCAGAACCATGACCCAATTAAACCCCTTTTCTTCATGAATCACCCAGGCTCAGCTATTTCTTCATAGCAATGCAAGAACGGCTTAATACAATCACCCCACTTTCATTTCATGTGTATATAAACACACACACACACACACACACACTGCATCTTATTTAACAATGAGGCTTTTTTCAACTATCTGTAACAATGTACAAAATATGAAAAATATGTTTCCTAAGGTGGCATTAATCCCAAAATGATAAACTATAGAATATTAATCCCAGTAAATTCCTTGGTGTGGAGGTGTGGAAACAGAGGGTGGGGATGAAGCAACTTTCTTTAAAAGTTTTGGAAGTGTACAATCACAATATATAATAGCATATATCAAGAGTCCTGTATGTTTCATAAATAAATATGTTTAAACTTGTAAATCTAATATATCCTAAAAGGACTCATCCATAAATTTATTTTTGTCATCTAACACTACTAAGATCCTTATAAGAAAAAGTTACACGTGTACTCTTGCTTCAGTTATATAAAATTGTTGCCTTTGACTTCATGTGTTATACCATTTACTATATCCCGCAGCGCATCTGAACTAATTCACAGAGGACCTGGTTGGAGGCCTGGAGAAAATCGGCAGTCTCACATGTAAACTTCCAGTTTATTGGGATGAGCTAAAAGAGTGTATTCTCGACAAAGTCTAGCAGGCTCAGCAATGTGGGTTGCGTGTGGCTTCTCAGGACTCCTAGGTCCTCCTGGGCACACATGCTTTGCTGGTGGCAATGGCACTCCTCCTGTCCAAGGAGTTCTGCCACATCCCCCTCCCGAGAAGGAGCTTGCCTTGCTTCTTTCAACCATGTCACTTGGAACTCCAGCCTTTAGCAAGCCATAGCAACTGGGATCAAAGGATTTAGATATCAGGTACAACTTTTAACTTTACTTCCAGTTATTTCATGCTTCATGGACCACAAATTATGTAACTATGACTAGGAGTCATGCGTGGCCAATCACAATGCAACTACCTTGTGTGTGGAGGACCAGCCTGTGGGCCCGTGCAGCCACACGAGCTATAGTGTGAAGGTCTAGAGAGAAGTGATCACAGCCAGTCTGGGCACGGCCTATGGCACTGTCCACATGAGAATATTCTCTGCAGCTTGAACCCAGTAAAAATATCGTCTCCCCTAATACCCTAATATTATTTTGTTATTGAACACTTTATCACATTTTAGTATAATATTTCCTTCTTCTCTTAGTCCGACAAGGAGCTTAGAGATAGCTTTTATATTCAATTGAAACACTGTATTTTGGGTGCATGATTTTGGGGGAATTTTGTTTGTTTGTTTTTTAACAAGCTACTCAAATCATGTTTATCCAAAATTAAAAGATATAGACTGCTAAGAAAACTGTGAGGTCTATTTTGAAACAGATAAATGAGAATGAAAGAAGTTAGAGTATAAATGTAATTTAAACATACAATATTCAGCAACTATCAGAAAATAAAAATTTATTGAAGAAATTTCCTATTCTTTCTGAATTTCTCATGCTGAGGAAGAATGATTTTTAAAAAAGCTATTTGACTTTTGGAATTTTATCCTCAGGGATAAAACTCAGAACACTACAAAATGATTTATGTATGAGAACATTCATTGTGGCATTTTAAAAATTGAAATAAAGAAGAAATATTAAATCTCTAATATACCTGTAAAATTATTTTTGAGGAATCTTTAGTAAAGTGAGAAAATGCTCACAACCTAGACTTGGATAGGAAGGCAAATTGAAAATAACATGTATAATTAATATAAATACCAATATCTGATGTTTGTGGAGTGCTTACTACATGCCAGACATTGTACTGAGTATTTTTCACTGATTACCAGAAGAAATAATTTATTTTGGAAAATGTAAAATATATGCAAATAAGTGAATGGCACAATCCAAAGTACCCATAATTGTCCACATCGAGAAAAAAAAAAAGACCTATCATGAGCATTGACAAATATACCAGGAACTGTGAGAGGAAATTTAGGTGCATTCACTCAGTTATTCCTCCCAGAAAACCAGTGATGTAGGTTATTTTTGTCATTCATGCTCATTCCACTAGATGACACTGCTATAATAATAATAATAATAGTAGTAGTAGTAGGAGGAGTTATAACATATCTCCCCTCCTTGAAAAATGATACTTTTAATGATAACCCTAAAGAGCATCAGTGAAAATTAAATTTATAATATCCACTTACATATTAAGTATGTTTAAAATGTTGTAATTCTTTTGTAATTGATAATCTATTTGTAGTATCTATAGACCGATGTACCAAGGCAGTAAAACATCACAATTTAACTTTTATACTTTTTTATTTTCTTGGAATACAATGTACATGTCCCCATAGAAATGTTTAAACAGTAGTTAGTGACTGATTTCAGACAAAAAAAAATGCTATTAATTCATTTACTTAGGAGTTCAGAAGAGGTAAGGTATGCTGAGGAACTCTCTCACATTCAAGCACACACACACACACACACACACGCGCACACACACACACCTGTGGAATAAGCATCTCTCACTCCCCTTTATGCTGAATGAACTTGCCAAGGGCTTCCGTTGGTAGTGGCCATTACAGATGTCCTCTTATGCTGGATTTGGAACAGGACATGAGAGGAGAGTCAGGCTTGGACTGGCACAGGAAATGAGGATTCTGCCAAAGTAAGAGGGGATCCGGGTGCCCTCTGAAGAGCTGAGACTCAGTGCCTTGTCAGAAGGGCTTCTCGTGGGCTCAAGGGAGAAAGGGAGAAGGGCTAAGATTTCCATGAGATGGATGAGAGAGGGCCTTCAGATCCCAGGACTCTTAACATGGAGGATGTTCACTAAAGGGTAGGGAAACGGGGCTCTCAAAACACCGGAACCAACTTGTAGCAGCTGCTTGATCTAACATGGAAATAGCAGCTCAGACATTTTCATTGCTAGACATTCTGAAGAAATATGAAATTTTCTGAATATTAAGAGACCCCATCATCACCTCTGTATTCAAAATGTCTTTTCATTTATGCTGTCAGAAGATGATTAGAAATAAAATTTGAAGTGAAACCGTACACAATTTTTACCTAGATTTATCATCCTTCTTTGAAAAATATTCTTGACTATATTCGTTACTCTGAGCCTTTTCAACATTCTGTTTTGTACAATTCAATCATACTATTGAATAATAATGTGATAATATGTGAAATTTACTATTTTTTGGATTATCTATCTAACTTTTTCTACTCTAATGTAATACAATTCTGTTTGGTTATTTAATATCACCACTTGCTCACTCATTACCTGTTCATTGGGATTGTTTACAGGTAATATTTAAGACGTAGAAGCAGAAGACAATGCTACAATGTAGGACAATAAAAATACTATTTCAAATGTGTCATCTCTATACTGGCCCCAAAAGAGGAATGGTACGTTTAACGGAAGAGAATTATATTACAAATCATGCTTAAATAATAAAAGCCATCATTTAAGAAAGAGTCTCCTCCAGAACTGTACTTAAAATAATTTATTTGGGATGCAAAAGTACTTTCAATTGTCTCTATTCATCTTTACGGTCCTACCTTCAAGAGCTAGTTACAAATCTCATTCTGCATTTTGTCAGCTACTTGAACCCAGCTCTCTCATTTATGAACTTGAACTTCAATTCTATATTGTCAGAATAGTGCATTATTACAGTGTTAGGAGTGTATGTCTATTTTAATGGAAACTATATTTATGATTTCAAATGAAATCAATTATAAGTCCAATATAAATCACAAATTGATTAATGTGGTCTCTTGCCAGTTTAAGAGGCTTTTAAAGGCTCTGCTGCAGATGGCTGACTGCAGTGTTTTGATCCGTAGTTTTTTAGAATTTTTGGAACAGTCAAAACTGGGTATTAATGTTCTGTGGCAATGTTTTAGGCATTTTACTAGGTAAAGGATTCAATATCAGGAGGGAATTACATTCTGTTTACTAATTTCTTTTCCTGTAATATTTTAGTAAGGTTATCTTTACTGAAAATATGTCATTTTTATTACTATTACTGCATTACATATTTTCATGAGTGTAACTTAGTTCATGCCCCTTATTTGATTTTTCAAAGAGGAAAGAACAAGCTAGATTTCTTGCTTTACTAGCCATTAATAGAACCTTAAACTTGATCATAAGTAAAAATAGATCATTTTGTTAGAATTAATACAATAATCTCAAAGATATAATTACTATAAGTGGAAATTATAATACTTATTTTATTTTAGCTTAATTAGAATTTATGCCCTTGAAAATAAAATGTGAAAAAGCAATATAAATATATTTTCTCTGAATTTTTCCTTTACAACTATATATATCAATCATTATACATATCATCTATACATACACCTTGATTATTAATGAGTCTAATATTTTTAACTTTAGCTCCTAGAGTCACCCACAGGAAGGAGATCTTGAACC
This sequence comes from Homo sapiens, assembly GCF_000001405.40. Classification (NCBI taxonomy): domain Eukaryota; kingdom Metazoa; phylum Chordata; class Mammalia; order Primates; family Hominidae; genus Homo; species Homo sapiens. Next base: position 90,886,144 of record NC_000013.11, read on the forward strand.
CTTTCAATGATACCCACTTCACTTTTACCATAGTCCTTCACATAGTGATATTTAAGCCTCTCAGTTTCCATAAAGCAGTTGTATAAAGAGATCAGATCTATTTACATGCTATGTCTAGATTGGCCAAATTTTCTCAACTAAAATGTAAAAGAGAGAGAGAGATAGAAAGATGGAAAAAGAGTAAGGGAAGGAAGGAAGGATAAGAGAGAAGGGATGGAAATAGAAAGGAAGGGGGGATAATTTTACACATAACTCGTAGGGTTTTCATGATAATTTAAAAGAATACGAAGAATCATTTATTTTAGAATGCCTTTATTGTTTATAGGATTAAGCATGTTATGTATCAGTTAGGATCTAACCTCTTCCTACAAGGCCGTTTCCTTGAGTAACTATGCACATTTAAGTACCTGATACAGTAGGAACTCAATAAGTAGTAGACACCTCTACCATTACTATTAAAAATGTACTGGTAAAAGTGTTTGAAATGCAGTGTGAATGAAGCTCTAAAATTCTGCTATTGATGTCCTGTGGCCTGGCTTGCCTTATTATATTCCAACCTTTGTTTACTAGTAAATAGATCATCCCAAATCAGTGCAAACATGTACCTTCCTTAGCAGTATTCTAGAACTACCTGAAAAAAATCAGAAAAATATAAAGCTTTGGTTAGATTATTAAGATGAAATAAAACATAGGAAATAATATAGACATTTATAAAATTTTAATTTTTTTTTGTCTCAAAAGCAACTCAAGTAAAATACCTATTTGTGGAAGGACCTGACTGACCGTGGTTAGTTTGACCAATGATGGTAATTACTTTACAGTGCATAGTTATTCAAGGAAAGAGCCTGGAGAAAGAGGTTAGATCTCAACTGATACACAATAGGCTTAATCTGATCAGCAATATAGAATTTTTTTAAGACCCTGATCCCTCTTAAATCTGGAGTTAGAGTATTACTTCCTCATTATAGCTGACCTGACCAAAAATTACTACTCAAATCAATTAGTGAAAATATTTTTGACAGATATTGTGAAATTTCATTATACTGGGGAATGGAGGAGGAGGGAGAATGACTTCACTTGGAGGAATAAAAGTACTGTCCTTCACAACGTCCAGAAGCACAGTTCTCCTTCTCTCCCAAATGAACTAGCGTTGGTTATTGGGATCATTCACTTGAACCGTAGCTGAGGTTCCTCCCTGGGATTTCAAGACATGTAAGTATCTTATATGTGAAGCAAGAATTCCGGTACAGTTACTTAGATACTGTTAATCACTATAATATCTTTCATCTTGCAGCCTTATCTGGATAGATATGCAACCGTTTGCATTTTCAATGAACTTCCAATTTCTAGTGATTTGGCACAACAGGAATTGATTATAAACTGAACAGGATAAAATGGCTGCCTACCTAATTATGGAGATTCCAAAAGTTCTGTATTTTAATTGTCATAATAGGCAAGAATTCAGAAGAAACTGTCATCTTGTAAGTTAGGTAACAGGATATTAGATACAGTTGTCCCGTATTGCTTCTTGAAACCCTTGAGGCCTAATTTAGATATCTGACTCCCTGACACAGAGAACATGATGTGTAGAAGAAAGTTTAAACATCAAATTCTTTAGATTGGTTAAGACCACATACACAGAAAATATTAAGTAACGTGGTGAACTGAAAAATATATTCTGGGGCTAATCTAAGAGGCTGTGGAGTAAGGACATCTTGGTAACTAAGTCTATTTCTAATTTGGCAGTTCTAAGTTTAAGCGAGTACTAGGAATACTGGGGGATAAATGAGGACCATTTGTTCCTGAGAGCACTGCCCTGTGGTCAACCAGTCTGTGTTCACAATGTTTATTGTATTACACCAAGACCTGTAAGGTGTACCTGCCTAAAATAAGATGGCTCCCAGTAGATGCAATGAATATCTGCAGCCATCTGTATATAAGCCTGGCCACAGAAGGAAGACTTTGAGCTTTCTCAAAAGATCTGATATGGTTGTCGTTCACTTAGACTTATCATTTGCAATTGTGTGTTTACTTCTGAGGGCTTTATAGGGTGCCTATGAATTTAATCCTCTGTCTATCACTTAAAATAGTGTGGATTTTCCTGCTTTATATCCCAACTAGCTGGCTTCTTCTTGCATCCTTTAAATAAGCAAACATACTTGATTTACCTCAGTCATGCATGTCTGGTCTCCGTCAGTGTAAAGCTCTTATTTACATTAGTAGAATACCTTGATACTAAGGTCTTATTATTTCAGTTGATTCACTCAACTCCTAGAAATGGAACAAAATATCTGTTTTGATTCCCATTTTAGATTGAGGAAACTCTGCCATAGTTGATTAAGAAAATTATCTGAAGTCTTCATGCAGGTAAGAGACAGATTAGAGATGTAAGAGAATGTGTTATAATTCAACTCCAGCACATTTTTTATTATATCTCATTGTCATACAACATAACTTCCAAATTTAGAATTTAGTTTATGGCATTGTTATAAAGATCACAAGAACTGATACACATGAAAGTGGTTTTTGCACATAAGACTATTCAAGACTCTGGTTCATAGAAAGTCTCTTGCCCTTGCCTCCAGCCCCTAATAAATAGTTTTGCGATAAAATAAAAAAAAAAAAACTTCCTATTAAGGTCAACGTTATTATTTTCAAAATATCGAAATTAAAATATGACAATGACCTTTAATCTAAATAATTATGTGGTGTGGCCGGGTACGGTGGCTCACGCCTGTAATTCCAACACTTTGGGAGGCCAAGGCAGGTGGATCACTTGAGGTCAGGAGTTTGAGACAGGCCTGGCTAACATGGAGAAACCCTGTCTCTACCGAAAACACAAAAAAGCCAGGCATGGTGGTGTGTGCCTGTAGTAGTAGCTACTTGGGAGGCTGAGGCTGGAGAATCACCTGAACCTGGGAGGCAGAGGTTGCAGTGAGCCGAGATTGCACCACTGCAGTCCAAACTGGGTGACAGAGTGAGACTCTGTCTCAATAAATAAATAAATAAGTAAATAAATAAATAAATAAATAAATAAATAAAATAAAAATATATATGTATGTGGCGGGACCTGGGCAATGGGTGTTTTGAGAGAAGTACATATAATTGAAGAAAACAGGAAAACAAGATAATGATGATATAATAAATATTAATTTTGGCTTAAGACCAGTACATTTAAAGGTAAAATTGAATAAGGCAAAAATAAATTCTATCAAAAATAAGCTTATCCTGGAAAGTCCTGTTTAGAAAGAGCCAGCTGATCTGGATTAATCTAATAAATGCTGAATCCAAAGAAATGTACCTGAATACAGAATTGTGTAGATTGAGAACTAAGGAAAATATACTATCTTCTTTCAGAAAACCTTCTGAATAAATATTCCCAAGAAAAGTTACTTGAGTCTATCCTTTTCTATTGGCTATCTTTAAAGCACCCTTTCCCAAGTCAAGGTAATAAATAAAAACTGTGCTTATATTACTATTAATTTGGCTTCTTGTATTTTAAAACCTTTATTTCATTCAGTAAATCTAAATGTGATTTTTATTCTTGAGTGATGTATTAAAATCGTACCTTGGCACTGCATGTCTCCATAACTACATGCATAAATAAGGAAACATTAGTTGATCTCAACCTCGAAGTCGATGTATCCCTGCACTTCAAAATTTGAAAACTGATACATTTCTCATTGTATGTGCCAGCTTGAGACAGATTTTCCATTAGATAAAGCTGCATATAGCCTAGTTGGTCTACAGTTTTTTCCCAAATGAATAATCATTATGTCCCAAAGCAAGTGGTGCAGTCTAGACAGGAAGAGGCAAGTACCTGGAACTGTGAACCGGCTCTAGGTAGAAAGAGTCAATGACACCTGATGAGTTGAAGTAAAACTCAGTAGGAAGAATACAGACAACAGATGGTAATGCAGGAAAACATTTGGCCTCCTGACTGCCCAACACAATGTAATGAAGGTGCCTCTACAGGCAGTACTCTGAAACTCAGTGGAGCAGATGATAAATCTGTCACAATTTTCCATCCCAGTTACAGAGCCAGCATTCAGGAAGAATTAGCCAATTCTTAGAAGGAGAGACAAATAAGAGCAAAACAGAAATCCAGCCTTAGAAGACTCTGGTACTAATTAGATAGCAAAAGCAGGAGTTTGGACACTCAAAATAACGGAAAGAGGATGTGGAAGGAGAACTTAGTCCGAGTAAAGGTCACAAGAGATGTAAAACTGGAGACAGAGTTGGAATTAGTGTAGTGGAAAGACTAACTTACTCCTGAGTCTCCTGATTGTTGGAGCATCTTAAATCCCTCTTAACTAAAGTCAGGCTTGGTCCTAAGCCTGGAACAAGACATGGGAATTATGTTGATGAAGTAATGTGTCTCTCAATAGAAAGAACATGAATATATTTGGCAACTGAGGAGCCAGTAGGTCCTAAAATGATGACATAGTCATTTGGATTAACTCCTGATTTCTTAATAGCCACTTGACTTTAACAAGTATAAACTGGGAACTTACTCCAGCTCTTAGGTAAGTGAGTTTTGCTTGGCTAGACTTTTCACAAGCATGTTTAGTTAATATTAACAGTATTACAACTTAATGTCGCAGCTGATCTCTAGAAGTCATTGGTCTAGAGAAATCTTAAAATTTAAAAAGGAAATTGAATCCTGAAAGAGGTGCTCAAGAGAAAATGAGGAATAATATATAAATGAGGACACACATCATTTCTTCAATTTTTCCTACATTTGTTGAGTTCCTACCTAACATAGCAGGATCGAGCAACTAAAATCACTAACACAAAAGTTTTTTTTTTTAATGTCTATATTTGGAATACCTTCATCAGAGGCCACCAACCTATAAGAAAGATAAGACAAAGTGAAAATCATTGTTTAAAAAAATGTTTAACTTAATCTCTTTTGTATTAGTATTCAAACCATTTAAAATTCAAGTTCTTATCAGGGTTGTTTCTCCCTAACTTTTCTTACTCCCTAATATGGCATCTAATTTCAAGAAGAAAATGTGGTCACAGTTCATTTTCTGAGTGTAAGTCTCTGGCTTTGCTCATCCTGTGTACCTGGTGTGGCCTCCTGCTGATGAATTTAGAGGCTGTTGAAAGATGTGGGATGTTGTCTTAGCACTGGCAGTCTGTGATTTTATTAGCTCCCAGGATCACAGTTGTTTTCCCTAATTCATTGTCTCCATTTCTTTATTAGCAGAAAATGTACTTCTCTGACTCTTGGGCACAATCTGCATGGTTCCTCAGTTAAAATGTCTAATTTCCTACTCCACCTTCAGGGTTACCTTGCCCCCTTGAAAGTGCAGCTTAGTGGGAGGCATAAAAGCTCTTGTCTCAGCTACATTTTTGCTCCCTCAGTGGTGTTACTGAATAACTTACAGATTGACTGTGTATTAATAGAACTCAACAGGGAAGTATCATTATTTGTGGCTTTTTCACTTACACACCAGCCTCCATCAATGCCGTATCTGCACAGGTAGACAATGAGTCTCAACCATGAGTGAGTGGTGAGAACCAAGACATAAATTTTGAGTATTTTGTCCATTTTCTGTATCCATTCCATCATGACGCCTCTGGAAACCATGCAAAGAGACCTAGCTTCAGTTTGCTGAGTGATTTAGAAATAGTAGGGATGAGAATTCCATTGTGCCACATTCTCAATCCTCTCCGTGCTATGACTTAAATGTAAACTCAAGATTCAAATTTCTAAGTTTTCTTTTGATAGGTACACATGCTTGTAAGGGAGGAGGGTTAGAGCATCATCTTTATATGGACCAGAAAAAGAAAAAAATTATCTTCTTTCTCTTCACATTTCTTTTTATCAATCTCAAACCCCTTCAAGGAAGTGAAATATGTCTTGATTTCCTAAAAGGAAAATGTGCAGAAAGAAGGCAAGAAAGACAGACAGCAAGAGTGTACTACAACCAGAGAGAAAACCTGGTTCAAGCTTAGTTTGGGTGGATACGAAATGTTGGGTTGAAAATTCTTTTCTTTAAGAATATTGAATATTGGCCCCCAGTCTCTTCTGGCTTGTAGGGTTTCTGTAGAGAGATCTGCTGTCAGTCTGATGGGCTTCCCTTTATGGGTAACTCAACCTTTCTCTCTGGCTGCCCTTAACATTTTTTCCTTCATTTCAATCTTTGTGAATCAGACAATTATGTGTCTTGGGGTTGCTCTTCTTGAGGATTATCTTTGTGGTATTCTCTGTAATTTTTGAATTTGAATCTTGGCCTGTCTTGCTAGGTGGGCAAGATGGTTGAATAGGAACAGCTCTGGTTTGCAGCTCCTAGGGAGATCAACACAGAAGGTGGGTCATTTCTGCATTACCAACTGAGGTACCTAGCTCATCTCACTGGGACTGGTTAAACAGTGGGTGCATCCCACGGAGGGTGAGCTGAAGCAGGGTGGGTGTCCCCTCATCTGGGAAGCATGAGGGGTCGGGGAACTCCCTCCCCTAGCGAAGGGAAGTCACGAGGGACACTACCATGAGGAATGGTGCATTCCAGCCCAGATACTATGCTTTTATCATGGTCTTCACAACCCACACACCAGGAGATTCCCTCGGGTCACCAGGGCCCTGGGTTTCAAGCACAAAACTGGGCAGCCATTTGGGCAGACACTGAGGTAGCTGCAGGAGTTTTTTTCATACCTCAGTGGTGCCTGGAATGCCAGCAAGACAGAACTGTTCACTCCCCTGGAAAACGAGCTGAAGCCAGGGAGCCAAGTGGTCTTACTCAGTGGATCCCCCCCCACAAAGCCCAGCAAGCCAAGATCCACTGGGTTGAAATTCTTGCTGCCAGCACAGCAGTCTGAAGTCGACCTGGGATGCTTGAGCTTGGTGGGGAGAGGGGCATCTGCCATTACTGAGATTTTCCCCTCACGGTGTAAACAAAGCCTCCGGGAAGTTCGAACACTGCAACTCGGCAAAGCCTCTGGAGCCACACTATGTCTCTAGATTCCTCCTCTCTGGGCAGGGCATCTCTGAAAGAAAGGCAGCAGCCCCAGTCAGGGGCTTATAGATAAAACTCCCATCAGAGCACCTGGGGGAAGGTGCGGCTGTGGGTGCAGCTTCAGCAGAATTAAATGTTCCCGCCTGCTGGCTCTGAAGAGAGCAACAGATCTCCCAGCACTGTGATTGAGTTCTGCTAAGGGGCAGACTGCCTCCTCAAGTGGATCCTGACCCCTGTGCCTCCTGACTGGGAGACACCTCCCAGCAAGGGTCAACACTCACGCAGCAGAGCTCCGGCTGGCATCTGGCAGGTGCCCCTCTGTGACGAAGCTTCCAGAGAAAGGAACAGGCAGCAATTTTTGCTGTTCTGCAGCCTCCACTGGCGATACCCAGGCAAACAGGGTCTGGAGTGGACCCCTAGCAAACTCCAGCAGACCTGCAGCAGAAGGGCCTAACTGTTAGATGGAAAACTAACAAACAGAAAGGAATAGCATCAACATTAACAAAAAGGACGTCCACACCAAAACTCCATCCACAGGTCACCAACATCAAAGACCTAAGGTAGATAAATCCACAAAGATAAGGATAAACCAGAGCAAAAAGTTTAAAAATTCCAAAAACCAGAATACCTCTTCTCCTCCAAAAGGTCACAACTCGTCACCAGTAAAGGAGCAAAACTAGACAGAGAATGAGTTTGACGATTTGACAGAAGTAGGCTTCAGAAGGTGGGTAATAACAAACACTTCCGAGCTAGAGGAGCATGTTTTAACCCAATGCAAGGAAGCTAAGAACCTTGAAAAAAAAGGTTAGAGGAATTGCTAACTAGAATAACCAGTTTAGAGAAGAACATAAATGACCTGATGGAGCTGAAAAATAGAGCATGAGAACTTTGTGAAGCATACACAAGTATCAATAACCAAATCTATCAAGTGGAAGAAAGGATATCAGAGACTGAAGTTCAACTTAATGAAAGGAAGAATGAAGACAAGATTAGAGAAAAAAGAAGAATGAAAAGGAGCAAGCAAAACCTCCAAGAAATATGGGGCTATGTGAAAAGACCAAACATATGTTTGATTTGTGTACCTGAAAGTGATGGGGAGAATGGAACCAAGTTGGAAAACACTCTTCAGTGTATTATCCAGGAGAACTATGGGTTTTTACAGGTTCATTATCCAATGTGATCCACACCCTATCAAAGTTGACAGGACAGACATCATTTTCCTCAATAGATGTAAGTTTAAAAGGCTTCTATTCATGATTACAGCATAAGTAAATTATGGAGCAGAGTCTCATATCAAGGACTTCTAATATCAAGTGTAGCCTTTTTTTCCTCTATAACCACTCTGTCTTCTTAGACAGACAGAGGAAAAGAAATTATTTTTATTATTGCCTCCAAGAGATACACACTATTCCTAACATTTTGTTAAGAGAATACTCAAAATAGAGAGATAGCTAGGTTTCATAACATATGTTATCATAATGCAATGAGATGGTATTATGAGATAATTTTTAAAGTGACTATTTTACTTATTTTCACATCAGTTATTAGCACATGCACACACAACTTTGAGAGAGGACTTTAAAACTCATATTAAAATTTTATCTTTTCACCAGCTTTATTTAATACACTCTGCCTTCTTTATGATGAACCAGGATCATTATTTTGATGATTTTTGCTTCACTAGGCTGAAATTCAATAATGGGCCGTGAAGTTATTAAACAGAAAAGAACTCTTTGTTCCCATAGCAAATGTCTGTAGATTGAATTACAGTTGCTGATTTTATTTCTTCTCGTTTTTCTCCCCCACCTGTTACATCTTAAAGTTTTATTTTGTTCTATTTTCCTCAGTTTCTCCTATTTGCCCTATTTGCTTCCATCCTCCTAGTAGATTTCTAGTAGACTATCAGCAGTTACCTAAGGGGCATCCAGATAATCAAACCCTGTATCAGTTAACTTAGTTTCATATGCTTAGACATTTGCATCCTTGGGACTTGAAGGTAAAGTTCATGAATTGCCATGAGACATGGTTTTGTACAATTCTTGTTAGTTGCCAATGGCTGCACTTACGGAATATTACTATTATGCTGTATCATGCATAGCATAATATAACCCGTAGGAAGAGTCACACAGAATGACAGGAAAGGTTACATTTTTCATTCTAAATGGAGTGTTTTTCTCTGTCGTCTTCTGCATAGAACTCATGCATTCTTCTTATGGTCAGATAAATGAATGAAATGTATACATTACTCCATTCTTTTCAATAAAACTGTGGAATGGTTGCCATTTCAGCTTACTCTGTATTTCTTAGAGTTGGGGATTGGTGATATTAAAGTTCTCTTGATTGATCTACAAGATAATTCCTCTATCATATTTTTTATATTATGATAGGACACAACTTATTTTAGACACAAATGAATATTTACGTCATGACAATTTCCCTTTGTTTTCTTCCCATTTTATATATACATGCCATGTAGATGGTAAGCAATAGTAAAAATTGTTCTTAAAAAGTAATAACACCTTACACAAGCAGAATAAGTAAGAAAAAGGTAATAAAATCTACATGAGAAACAGGACACATTTTACTTTACTTTTTTATCCTTCTGAAAATATTTATAGTGATTATCAAAGGCATACAAAGTATTTTACTCCTACCAAAGTATTTTTACACACACCTTTAAACTGGAATTGCTCAATGTATGTAAAAGAAAACTGTCAATTAACTTATCACCATTCACTTTAGTAAGCATAAACAGTCTAAAAACAGGAGGCATATACTGTCTGATCATAGTTTAACCTGAATTCTGAATCTGAAGGAAACAAAATCTCTCAAAGAAATAAACATATTTGCTTTGTTATTATTGATTTCTGTTGAATTTCGATCGAATCATTCCTCAGATTTCCAGTTCTTCTAAAGCAATGATGAATGTGAATATAGGTATATGCCTGTAACGGAAATTTGTGAGCCCTGTTGAAATGAGGTCCAGAAGTTGCACTTCCAAAGATGATTGTCTTCAAGGCAATTGCTTCCTGCCAGTTTGGTGATCCCTGGTGCTGGCTGAGAGGACAGAGTCTAACAGCTGCAGCAAATAAGCAGCCCATAACTGCAGAAACTCCCTGATAGGAGGGAAGCGAAAGCAGCTAACACAGGCCACTGAAGGAATCATTTGCTCTATGGCTTTGGCCTATAAATGGTAATATTTCACAGTTGTGTTGTGGTTTTGTTTTAAGATACAATGCCCCATTGAGCCATATCATAGCCTGAGACAAAAGGAAAGATCAATAATACTAATCACATCTTTATTTAAAAATGTATTAGTTTGTTGATCACTTTTTGCCTTTTGCAGTAATTTTTATTTTTAAAAAAGATTGCATTAAAATAGTATTTATCTTGATTACTAAGTTGTTTTGGTGCCCTAAACTTTGCACCTGAGGTGGGTAATTAATAGTATTTGTTGTATTGGATCAATAACCCTGTCCCAGTATCTTTTGGGTGAAGCCTAATAATCTGTTTTCTTTTTTTTTAATGGTTTTAGAGTTTGGTCACTGGACTCCTGCCTCGGAGGCACAAAGGCACAGAATCATAAGCGCTTCATTTGCCTTAGCCTAGACGCACCGCATCTTAATAAGAGAGCTCCTCATGTGTAGTGATCAAGGTTCCTTTTGTATCTCTTTTGAAGCCTGAGTCAATAGGAAGAATTGAGTAGATTTTTATTAAGTATATATTGGCATTGCTTTTCATCTCTCCTTATAAAACCTAGACAAGTGATATTCAAAAACTGATCCCCAAAGAAGTCACTGCATCTTTTTTTTTCTATCTCTTTGCTAAGACTCTTCAAACTGGCATCACTTTCAGTTTGAAATAACAATAAAAGCGAAGAAGCCAGGGGCAAAAGTGAAATGCAACATTACACTTTGCTATTAGCATAATGTGGATATCAATTACACACGTCAAAATTTTTGTTGCAAACACTTTATAGTTTGTTTCTTCATTTTAAAATATGTATTAAATATTTATTAAATACCCATTCTTTGGTGAGTCTACAAATAAACAAAAATATATTAGGAAATAAGAAACAATCTAAGCTTAGGTCTGGTAATGTAATGCTTGAAAAATAACCCCAGAGGAAGCATAAAATATTTACTAGTTTAAAACCAAGTTAGATAGTCTAAACTTTCTAAAGCTTTATGGGATCTCATTAATGCATGGAAAATTTGACTGTAAATCCATTATTTCCAATTTATACACTGAAGGTAACATATAAAAGTCAAAAATCTTTTACACAAAACAAATGCAAAACTGAAAAAGTTTCATACCACAAACTTGAAAAATCTTTTTGTGAGTTTTGCACAACACACTAGAGTGTAATAAATCATAAAGAAAAATATTGGTTAAAATGGGTATGTTTAACAGAATATGAAATACAGAGACAGGGAGATAAACATCAATGCTTTTATCTCTTTCACATTTTTACATTATAAATTAAATGTCAACACTTGGGTATCAGTTGATCTGGGAATTCTCAATGTGCTATAGAAGAACTAATTATGAAGCCCTTGGGAAAACTTAAACTTACTTAAATCTCTGGGAAATCCTAAGAAAGCTATGAACTAAATAAATATTATCAAAGCAACAATTCATGCATTAACAAACCCTAAATATTATTTATCTACACTTCCTCCTCCTTTCTCTCATCCACTCAATAAAAGTATAAGCGATATAGGCACATACAGGAGATAGAGACTGTTATGCAACTCCCAAAAGATTCATTTAACCTACAGCAATGATTTACTGAATCCCTCCTCTATTCCTCGAAACTATGCTGGTTATCAGAAAAGACTCACCGAACTGCAATATCCAACTCTCCAAAATTTCATGGCCCCTCTTTTATGACTCAGGCCTAGCCAAGTTTAGAATAACAAGCTGTTAGGGTCAGGCTGTTTGAATTTAGGACAAAAGGCAAAAGGAATCTTTTCTCTTTCAAAATTGGAAGTATACACTCCCAGCTGTTAAGCAAGATTAAACCTAATAATTACATAAATAGGTAAAACCATACTCTGGATCATTAATTTATATCTGGGATAGACAGAATGATTAGTAAATACCAACACATTAATCTGTTATAGTATCTATTGCACATTCATAAGTGATATAGTTTGGCTATGTCCCCACTCAAATCTCATCCAGAGAATTGTAATCCCCATATGCCAAGGGAGGGACAGGGCGGGAAGTGATTAAATCATGGAGGCGTTTTTCCCCATGCTGTTCTCCTTATAGTGAGTGAGTTCTCATGAGATCTGATGGTTTGAAAGCAGTAATTTTCCCTGTGTGGTCTCTCTCTCTCCTGCCACCTTGTGAAGAAGGTGCTTGCTTCCCCTTCGCCTCCTGCCATGATTGTAAGTTTCCTGAGGCCTCCCCAGTCATGTGCAACTGTGAGTCAATTAAACCTCTTTCCTTCTTAAATTACCAAGTCTCAGGTAGTTCTTTATAGCAGTGTTAAATCTAACTAACATGATAACACATTTTCATTGTTTCCAGGAGTGTTAGGTCCCCTTCTGTTTCTCTTCTCCAGGATCTCTCATGTTGTTATTTATTAGCCTTCATCTATTCTCATTCTACATGCTGTAACAAGAAGGCCATATTCACCCTAAGGTTCTCCTGTTATCTGTGAGCCATAGTCTGATCATCCCCTCAAAAATATCTCCAGCAGAAAATTCACATTCAAATTCTAGGTTTTTATTTACAAAAATGAAATCAGAAGTTAGAACCATCTCTAAAGTCCAAAATATAATTCATTATTGTTTCCTTCCATCATGTTCTTTATCTGTTTTTTCCTACTAGTCAGTGACACATATTATCCGTCATCTCTCAATCCAACTGCATTCTTCAGTCTCCCCAAAGCTATGAGGTGAAATTACAGAGTTGGTATTCAAAAAATGTGTTAAGAAAAATGTGTAGATAAACAAAGTGATGGTATTGTGAATTAATTTTGTTCACCAACCTTAGTAATACTTACCCATACAGCTAAATTGTCAAAAATAATTTTAAAACTTTATTTACATGAATGTTTACATGTGGTTTATAATTGTTTACTTTTAAAAATCTAAATGTTTATTGAACTTAAAAAGGCATCAAATAGGCAAATATGCTTTAAAATTATTAGCAATTTTTGTGTAAAAAGTAATACAGTCACTTATATTGTCACCTATACTTTCCATTTTCAGGGCAGCCTGAATTCTAAAGATCCTTGCCAAGTACCAATTACATTTTCGATTGCCTTTAGCTAATCATAATTTAGTCTTCTATTAGGAAGTCTATTTAAGACTATTTAATTCATTAGTATGTGCTTAATAGGGTTTAGTGCTTGGTTAATTCTGCATTTTACTTTGTGGTTTTCTACCTTTGTTTAACTAAGTCTCTGTAATCGTTTTGTTCCATTTCTAATAACATCAGATGGGTAACTGTACAAAGGGTATGTTTAGAGTGTGAAGCTAATATATTAACTTTAGCACCTAATTCTCACTAATGATTAACTGACAATGAAATTTCTTAAGCAATTTAGTAATCCTCAATGGGCAAAACAACAGTTTATTTGAGTGAAGAAGGTGGAAAAAAACCCTTCCTTCTCCTCATCTTGAATTTCTTACTATAGAAAGAGACTCACTACAACATAAAACTTCACCAATAAAGCCTAAAGAGCTTTACCTTTCCTATTCAAGGGGAATGTGCATAAATATTACACACAAATTTCTTAATAAAATACATTTTACCCAAAAGATATTACATTCTAGGGATACACTTCATCTGAAAGCTACCCTATTCTCTTAATAAGTGAGTGGCTTTTAAACACAAATTTTCCTCTTCTAAACTTTACCAACTCTGCCACCATAACCAAGAGATAAGAGATTAAATAAGGAAAAAATATGGAAATTAGAGCATAGAACTCTAGGGAGACATTGTATAAAAAGGAAAGTACATGTCCTTAAAACCATTATTGATAAAGATCTTGTACTTTGAGGAACAACTTGGAGTAAATTTATCGAGGAACACATTGCTCTAATAAATAAATATTACAACAAGGAAGTAATTATTTACTTTTTCTGGGGATTGACTCACAAACAATGAACTTTATTTATTTATTTATGTTTAAATTTAGATTCAGGGAGTACATATGCAGGTTTTGTTACATGGATACATTGCATGATGCTGAGGTTGGGCACCTAATGATACCATTGCCCAAGTAGTGAATACAGTACCTGATAGGTAATTTTTTAACCCTTTCCCCTTCCTCTTGCTCTCCCTTTTTGGAATCCCCAACGTTTATTGTTCCCATCTTTGTGTCCATCTGTACCCAATGTTTAGCTCTCACTTATACCTGAAACATGCAGTATTTGCTTTTCTGCTTCTGCCTTAATTCATTTAGGATAATGGCCTCTAGCTACATCCACGTTATGGCAAAAGCACTTTGGAGATTTTTCAAAGAGCTAAAAATAAATTACTACTGGTTATATGCACAAAGGAAAATAAATCATTCTACCAAAAAGACACCTGTACTCATATGTTTATCACATCACTATTCACAGTAGCAAAGACATGGAATCAACACAGGAATCCATCAATTATGGATTAAAGAAAATGTGATTTATATACACCATAAAATAATACACAACAATAAAAAGGAACAAAATCTTTTGAAATAACCCTTTAAATGTCCTTTTGAAATAATCATTTAAATGCATAGTGTTGAACATAAAGAGGAAAGGAAAGGAAATTCAGGATATAATGAAAGGAAATTAATGATATAATGATTATAAAGGAAATTAATGAATTAATGATACATAAAGAGGAAAGGAAAGGAAATTAATGCTTTTTCAGACAAAAGCAGATCAACAGAAATTTTTCCTTAGGCACCCATGGCTAGGAGTTTTATCTTTCTTAGTGAGCAAGAATTAGAGCTAGCATACCCATAGTGTAAAATGTGCTTAAGCATCTATATAGTCATTTTATATGCTATTATTACAGTGTGGTTCATGTCTTTTTAAATAATTTTATGTTTTTCTTATAAATTCAACATTTTTGTTCTCCAAATCGGAAAATCAGATAAATAATACATACTTGTTGAAAGCTGGCTCCCTGAAAAAAAAAAAAACACAAACAACCTGTTAATCACACAAAGCTAGATACACACTATCTCAGCAAGGGAGAACACTACCAAAACAGTTGTAGTAGCCTCTCGGAAAGAGAAGAACAAAGTCAGGGTATCAGTAAGGCTTGGAATCTGATTTAAGGCAGGTCTTTCATTAAGTGTGGGAGGCATGGGATGGGGAGAGAAATGGGCTTGATTAGGTTTAAAGATTATAATATACTGGTTTAAGATTGGTGGATATGGCAGGGCTTGCAATTTGAGATGAAGGAGCTTCAAATACTTTGGGGGTAAACAATTGGTTCATGTTATATTTTTGAGAGTTTAATAGCTTGATTTTTATTTAAATTGTTTTCACTATACTAATAAAGTTACTTTTTATCTTCCTAGGCAAAGTTTTCAGGATGTCAAAAGATTTAAAGAAATTAGATCCACTTATTTACATGGAAATAGTATTGCAATAAGCATAAAATTCAAGATGTAAGTTAATACTTTAAAGATAATTTTGCTAACAGACAATATATTGACGGGAAATGTGAGTTAACAACAAAATTGAAAGAGAGGGAATGATAAAATAGTAAGTTATGGTGGAAATGGCTGTTAAAAGAAAAAAGTATAAAGTCAGTTTCAGAAGGTAGTGTTCAACAGCAAAAAGAGAAAATATGAAGAGCAAAAAGCTATTATTATATATTATATTTTGCCACAAAACCCAGGACAACCCAAATCCAATAAAATAATACTGATTCAAATAAGTTCAAATGGAAGGAAAAATATTAAAGTATATTTAAAATAAAAGGTCAGTGGAAAGAATCTGAACATCACAGCAAACTAAGTGCATGTATCTTTTATGCCTTCTGCATAAATTCCCTTGAAAAGAAAAAAGATGCTTTAAAATGTATAAATCTATAATAATGCTGGGCAGCAAGAAATAGTACCAGAAGTGTAAGAAAAATATTGAACAATTCTTAACAAGAGAAAGCAGACAGGACTGGATTGACAATCAGGCAAGACTAAGAAAAGTCTCATGAAGATATGGTGTTGGGGAGAGCTGCTGTGGAGGTGGGAGTATTGTGAGATGTGTCCAAGCATCGTAATCAGAAGGGTTCTTCAGGGCTCTATGAGGCTTATTTGAGAAAATATCTTTAGGGATGCAGGGAAAACCAGCATCTCTCTTCTTGTGCTATTCTGCTAAACTGAGTGCAACCATCACACTGGCACACAAGCTAAGGCAGCCAGTCCTGGAGCCCTAAAGCCACCCAGTCCTGGAGCCCTAAAGGCAGGGCTATGCAGCAGGTCATCGATGGTCAAGAGTGAAGAACCCTCTTCCAGGAGGACACCTCTCAGGAGATAAACCATGCCACTTCTGACAGCATATATCACTCCTCTGCCCAAATCACCAAAGGTAATATTGTGAAAGAAGAACCGGCAAATACAAATAGGTTAATTGATATCTAAACAAATGAATAAATAATTAATAACAAGCATGAAACATGAAATAAAACATATTTAAAAGGTGTTCAGTTGAACAAAAACAAAAAACAAACAAAAGAAAAAACCACAAAAGAATCAACACCAAAGCAGTAGAACTAATAAAGCAAACTGAAAAAGACTGTAAGATAAGTAAAATTAATATTCTAGGAGAGACTGTGGTGACTAAGGCAGGAGGACTACTTAAGCTCAGGAATTCTAGGCTGAAGAAAGTTTTGATTACACCACTGCACTCCAGCCTGGAAGACAAAGCAGGACCCCATTTCTAAAAATAAATAAATTAATTAATTCAAAAAAAAATTAGGAGAGATTAAAGGAATTATCACATGCACAAGCTATTACAAAATTAATCAGTTAAAGGTCATGAAAAGTAAATGTATAGGTTTTGGGGATGAGGAGAAGCTACCTGTGATTAATTTAATGGAAAATAGAAATAGCTAAGGAAGAAAGTTGTATTACTATTAAACAAGCTGAAAAATCATAATTAGAAGGATAGGGCCAGGCACAGGGGCTCAGACCTGTAATCCCAGCACTTTAGGAGGCCAAGGCAGGTGGATCACTTGAGGCCAGGGGTTCCAGACCAGCCTGGCCAACACAGCAAAACCCTCTCTCTACTAAAAATATCACCCCCCAAATTAGCTTGGTACGGTGGCGCACCTTTAGTCCAGCTACCTGGGAGGCTGAGGCAGAAGAATCACTTGAACCAGGGAGGCAGAGGTCACAGTGAACTGAGATCATGCCATTGCACTCCAGCCTGGGCAACAGAATGAGGCTCTGTCTCAAAGAGAAAATAAAAAGGATAAAGTGAAAATTATATGAAAGAATTATTGAGAGACAGGAAGAGACCAGGAGCCCAATACCTTTTGCCATATTTTGGATGTTTTGTTCCCTTCAAATGTCGTGTTGAAATGTGATCCCCAATGTTGGAGGTGAGGCCTAATGGGAGCTAAGTTATGAAGGTGGATTCCTCATGAATGCTTTGGTGCCCTCCCCATGGTAATGAGTTACCAAGAGATCTATGGCTAAAAAGAATCTGGGATCCTCCACCTATCTCTTGCCCTGTGACACGCCTTCTCCCCCTTCACGTTCTGCCATGAATAAAAGCTTCTTGAGGCCTCAGGAGAAGCCAAGCAGATGCCAATGCCATGCTTTTACTGCCTGAAGAACCATAAGCCAAATAAACCTTTTTTCATTATAAATTACCCAGTCTTAGGTATTTCTTTAAGCAACACAAAATGGACTAACACGCCCATCTAAGAGAAGTGAAAGAAGTTATCAATAGAAAGAAGTTGAAGAAGATAATTAGATGAAAAAAATAAAAAAACAGAGAAGAAGATATATGAGCCTTTTAATTGAATGGGCACCAAAACCATTCCATAAAGAAAATTAATAAAACCTAAACATAATGTGATGGAAACTCTGAACGTCACAGATAAAGGAACAAGGATCTTATTGGGAAGACTCTAACTTCTCATTCAGCAATAATTAATGCTAGAAGAAAGAGAGACTATTTTAAACCTCTAGTGGAATATGAGCATAGAGTTATATTACTAGCCAAATTTTCATGATTAAGAGAGAATAAAAGGATTGTTTTAATACACAAAGCCTCAGAATGACTGCTTTCCATAAACTATGAAAGAAGATCTTAAGTATACACTCCAACTTTGTAAAAATGGATTTCAATACAAATAAAGACATGAATTTAAAAAAATTAGTGTACCAAGAAATTATTAAATGTGTTATCAAAACAATTATTAATTCTTCTAAAAATGAGAATTTATCATTGGTATTCAGAATATGCTCAATCTGAAAGGGAAAGTGATATAAAAGTAAAATAAGTGGAAATTTGCTACTTTTTTTGTTCTTTGGGAAAATCTTATCTAGTCATTGATAGGAAAACAAATAAAATAAATTAAATTATTAGATTCTAAAAGATTGTGAGATATATATATCCTTCTTGATATAACAAAACAACTACAATAAAAAGTTAATAAAATATAAAAAGTCAGGAAAGAAAAATCAATACAGAAATATGAATAATAAAGAGTAAAAGTAAGATTTGTTGGAATCAACAGTGATTATAATAAATTCGATAAATCTCCATCCTCCAAGATAGTAAACATCGAGTTGGAAAAAAAATTTGGACACAAGCTAAAATTCACCTGAAGTTAAAAGGGAGAGTAATCAGGTGGGAAAAGAGACTTATTTGGTAAATTCAGCAAAGTCAATCATGTCTGAAAATATTAAACACATGAGAAATAAAACTCAAAGAAATGCAATAAATCAAAATAAAATGAATAGCTATTTTCAAATTAAGTTAGAAATATTCCAGAGACTAAATGAATCGTGAGTGGTTTATATCAAGGTTCACCCACTCAATTACATAACAAAATACTTTTTAATTAAGTAGATAATAACATAAATTATGCAGGAAGGATAAACATGGGTAAAAATGGTGGGCATGACAATCATTGTAAAACGCCATAAAAACAATACAAAATGATTAGTTGATTCATATCTAGCTTATTGGAAACCAGTGCATAAATAACATCTGAATTATGCAAACAACAAAGTTACAAAATACATGAAGCAAAAACTAATAAAACTCAAGGAAAACTGAAATATCCAGAATGCTAGCTGGGGATTAGTGTAATATTCTGGTAACTGTGCAAAGGAAAGTATATCAAGAAGAAGAATGTGCTCAACTATGTCAAATGCTACTGATGGTTCAAGTAAGGTGAAAACTGGGAATTCACCATGGAAATAGTTACAGGAAGGTCATGGGAACCCTCACAAAAGCTATTAAATTGTGGAGAAAAAAGCCCCAGTTGGAGTGAGTTCAAGAGAAAAGTGTAAGTAGAATTAAATTAGTATAGAAAACTTTTCCAAGGAGTTTTGTAAATAGAAGTAAAGTAAAGTGGTGCTATCCAGAGGAGAACTGACATTAACAGACCCCTGAGGGGACAAATAATAAGAATAGGATTATGAGTAAATAAAATAGTATCTTTTAGTTTGTTTCTTGATTTTTAATAGACATATAATTTTAAAAATTGTTAAGACATAGTGTGTCTTGTTTCTGCTTTTGCTTATTAAAATAATTAGAGAAATAGGTTGTTTGTATACTGATGCAAATAATGATGTGAGAGGGATTTGACAATAATTAACACACAAAATCAAGTTGCCAGAGCAATGATTTTTTTTAAAGCAACTTTTTTTTTCAATTATTTTAAGTAGGTGAGGAAGGATAGAATGTGCTGCACAAGTGGATGTGTTGCTGGTAAAAACACAGGGTTTAATAATTGTAATAGAGGGAAAGTGAGGGCACTTCATCACAAAAAGAAGCCTACAGAAGTCCTAGAGCTGAAGAATTTGATGAATGAAATAAAACTACAAGTAAGGGCTTCAATAACAGACAAGACCAAGAAAAAAAGGAATTTCTGAACTTGAAGACAGATCTTTTGAAATAACACACGCAGACAAGAAGAGAAAATAATAAAAAAGAATGAAGAAGCCTACAGGATTTATGGATTTATGGGACACCATTAAGTGTACAAATATTCATATTATGGGCATCCCAGAAAGAGAAAAGACAGGAAAAGATGCAGAAAATGTATTTAATGAAACAATAGCTGAAAACTTCCCAAGTTTTTGTAGAGAGAGAAACCTTTCTTCTTTTTTGATATTTTTCTTCTTTTTTAGTGTATGCATTTACAGCTATAAACTTTTCTCTTTATACTTCTTCCACTGCATCCCATAAGTTTATGTTGCATTTTCATTTTCATTTTCATTTGTCACAATGCATTATCTAATTTTCCTCGTAATTTTTCTTTGACCCATTGGTTGTTTCAGAGTGTCCCTAATTTTCAACATATTTGTAGATTTTCAGGTTTTCCTCACACTATTGATTTCTAGTTTTATTCCATTGTTATTATAACATACACTTTGCATGATTTCAATCTTCTCAAATATGTAAAGACTTGTTTTTGGTCTAACATGTATTCTATCATAGGGAATGTTCCAGGTGCTCTTCAGGAGAATATATTGTCTGCAGTTTTGGGGTAGAGTGTTCTGTGTATGTCTGTTAGATTCATCTGGTCTATGGTGTTGTTCAGGTCCTCTACTACTTGATTGATCTCATGATTGGAAGTGATCTATTGAAGTATCCTACAATTATCGGGCTGCTATTTTTTCCTTCAGTTCTGTCAAATTTTTCTTCAAATACAATGTTAAAATTTTTGTTAAATGGTATTTTAACCTATATATAAATGGTATTTCTGCATTTGGGGTTATGATAGTTTTTTTATCATAATGATGAAGCAGGATATTTTCCTGACTTCTTTATGGGACTTGTGACATGAGTGCCCCATTTATTCAGCTTACCACTCTCAACTCCTTGCAGGAGGGAGTTTGCGAGTCGACAAGGCAGAAACTGGAGTACACGAGTGCTGGAACCAGCTGGCTGCTTTGGCACTGGCAGGAGCGAACTCCATGCACTCTGACCTGCTATGTTCCACCCCTCATGGGAGGGAGCATGCAGGTGAGTGAGTGCAGGAGCCCGGGCAAGCACTTTTAGGCACCAGCAGGAGCAAACTTGGTGCAGGTCCCATGGCAATATCTAGAGGAGGTGCATGTGACTTCTGAAGCCCCAGTAGGCATGTTACAGTGCTCTTTTAGCTCTGCCATCCACAGACAGCTTAAGTGTTAATGGCTTAGTGGGCCCTTTTGTATCCACACTTGCTCCTGAGCTCTTGTCTGGCATCCAGGAAAAATGAAGTTGCAGGAAAAAATTAAAGGATGGTAAATGTGGGGAATTTTATTGCTTGTGAAAGTGGCTCTCAGTGGGAAGAGGAGCTGAAAGAAGATGATGGGAGTGGGGAGGTGTGCAGTTAATCTTATTCTGAAGTCCAGCCATCTCTGGCTGGATTCTTCTCAGGAGTTATGCCGTCAAGCTGTCCCTCTGAAGTCAAGCCACTTCTCTCCAATGTCCAGCTTGTTCTTCCTCTCTGCCAGCTGAGTCTGGAGTCTTTATAGGCACAGGATGGAGTTGGGCAGGGCCATGGATGGCTTAGGAAAAGGCAACATTCAAGTGGGGAAAAGGGATATAAGTTCTCACTTTGGGCCGTGGTCTCAGGATTTCCAGCTTGAGGGTGGGGCTTCGCCAGGGACCCTACCTTTTTTTTTTGGATAGAATTTCTCTGCCTCCTGTCACTATTAATAAGATATCATGAATAAGAATACTTAAGATAGTAAAAAGACTTATAGACTGTTTTGGAGGCTAATTAAAATAACATTATTAATGGTTTCATAGGTTGCAAGGATAAATTATAGAGAAAATATTTTGTGCATTCATCATGCATAATTCATGTGAGAACCTGTTTACCCTAGCTCCATGGTTCCCTCTGCAGTAACTCTTCTAGGATAACACTCTAGGCCTCTTGCCCTATCCTTATACACATGTGTTCCATGGGATAGGAGTGATTTATCTGACTGTTGAATTTGGAAAAGTGGGCTTTGGGGGTTAGTCCTTCTCCCTACTTCCTTTTACAAATGAATGTATCCACCCCCTGGAGCAAATATTCTTTTTCTGCATGCCGTAATTTTTACAAGGTAGGTACCAACAAGGTAAGATACCAGAAGTACTTCAGTCCTTTCTAATTTTGGACAACGCAACTTGAGTTCATGGAGCTTTATGAAGAACTCCTTCATATAGAAGAACTGGAATTTGAACCCACTCGTGTGGCCTTACAGCTTGGCATCTTAGCCATTAGGCTACACAGCATCTGTGTTTGTGTCAGGAAGTTGTAAGGAAGACCCTATATGATAATGTAACAAGGAAGAATTTTTCCCCCTTGTATTTAATGTTAAGAGTGTAAGAGGTCTCTGTGGTGTAATTCATTGTATTTTTTGTTTATTTTAGCTCTAATTTGTATGTAATTATGCTGTAACACTTCTTACCACACCAAGAGAGAAGTCTGTTCCACTAAACTTCATACTTCAAGTTGCAGGAAAATACTAATTGAATACACATAATAGGTCAATTTTAGAGAGTGGATAAAGAAAGATCAAGGATCAGAATGTAGCAGAGGAAGGGTTTGGAGTCAAACAGTCAAAGAAACCTTATCCATTACTCCTCAAGGTATTTAATCTATACAGAGCCATAAGTAAACTAGAAATCAATATGAAACAAGAGGAAAGGGTGTTTCAAGGGAAAGGAGACCACTGGAGAATAAAGACATGAAAGGTAAGTGAAAAGGTAAGAGAAAAAAAGGAAAAGAAAGCCAGTATTCAGAAGGAGGCATCGGATAACTAAAGGATATAGATTTTATGATGAGACCCAAAGAAATACGGCTTTTAAAAATTAATCAGAGAACAGGCAATCAATGACCCTGTTTTAACCCACCCCAGTTAAATAGCATACTGAAAGTGATTTGGCCATATTCAGAGAAGGAAAGATCAACCACACAGAGCTGATCCATATATCAAAAAGAAGTCAGAAAAAATAGAACAGTTTTATTAGTGAAGAGTATAGTATTTTGAATTTTCTAAGGAACTTGCCTCAACAATATTTTAAGTGAAATAAAAGTTATTTTGTTCTATATAACAAAAATGAGTATTTCATAATATTTTCAAGGTTGGAAAACTTTAAAGTAATGATTAGTTTGATACCATGAGAACCAAATTTTTTAACATTGATATGGATTTGGTTCATGAACTATGTTCTTCTCCAACTTGAGGGTGCAATTTGAACTAGCAAATTCCCACAGGTCAATAAGGAAAACAAATATCTATGCCAGCAATAAAAACAACATTTCTCATTTTATGTTTACAGGGTTTTAACATCATAATGAAGTTTAGATCACACTTGCCCAAAATAAGTGATTATGATGCCAAAGCCCAGTGGCAAGGAAATAACCAAACAATATGCCTAAGTTGTTTTCTTATTCGACTGATTTTATAGAATGTGCTAGACCTGAAGATAAGCTCTGCTACTTGCCTTCCTGAAAATATGCTACAGATTAAATATTTTCTTGTGAGATTTTAATGAAAGACTGGTTTTAATTATATTCACTTACTATGCAAATTAGGTTTGAATCAGCCCATTCATTAATATCCTATCTGGGATAGCAAAATAAATACACCACCTAAATTTTATTAAACATGCTTAGAGGTCTGAGGTATTACAGAATGTGAATCTTTAATTATGATACAAATTAACAGATAGTCTTATTGCTTGATATAATGGTTCTTGTTACCTGATGTAAATACTTGCAAATATTGCACATATGCAGGGTTTCTTTCTTTTGTTGACATTAACAAGAAAAATCTCTTTATAAAGTTCATTTTCATTTACAATTGTAGATTAGTCCTGAACGTTTTTCCTCATTACATGCAAATCATTAATCACACAAAATGAATGCAGCATCACTTTCTGTTCTCCAGAATGATGGGCTTTGTGATGAATACGTATTATCATAAATCTTTCTAAAAGAGGTCCTAATAGCATCTGATAACTTGCAACATCAGTGAGTAAAATGTAAAGTACACTCTCTTCCACTAGCTTTTGTATCTGAAGCCATCATCATCAATTTTCACAAGGACAACTTAAAACACAAGTACGTAAATACAAAGATCCATATAACCAGTAATGCAAAACACATTTTCTCATTTTCTACCTTTTTTCTCATGAACAAGATTTCCAATGCCCTTTGTTTCTCTGTTGTTCCCCTCCTGTTCTAATATCATTAGACCCTGATGCTCAATAATTAGTTCCTTATGCCTTGGTAAAACAAATTTTCAGTATTTTTTTGTTCAGATACAGAGTATTTTCAAACATTAAATCAAAGAAAAGATGAAAAATAATTTATTTTGAACACTAAGATATTTTTATCATTGTATGACATTTTAAGGGTTTTAAATGCACTTTTTGAACCTTCCACTGACCAATTTTGATGGGCTTAAATAGTAGGATTTAGGATATTTATGTATACACTCACCATGAAACAAGCCCAGTTTTCTCATACCACCTAAGCAGTCCTGCATGTGCTCATTGCCAGGGTGAACCTGGACTCAGCATCCTTGTGAGATTATTCAAGAGAATACGATAAATATTCATAGGTCAAGACAGAAAAAACAGATATTTTTATAGACCCAAGAGCAAATAAAAACAACCTCATAAAAATGTATTATATTCACGTTTATTAAGCTGCATGTTGGAGTCTTCTAAAATAAATTTCCTTTTACAAATTATCTAATTTTGACCTCTGCATTTAAAGTCAAAATATTTTTATAAAAGGCACCATTTCCAGGAAACATTGAGATCATTTAAGGCATAATATGGAAGACACGTTCATATAAATGTCATCTATTGATTTTTGTTGTTGTGTTTCCAACTTGAGCTAATTACAGAATCACCATAAAAAGATAAAAGTGTCAGGCTCAGTGACTCACGCCTATAATCTTAGCTACTTGGAAGGCTGAGGTGGGAGGATCGCTTGAGGCCAGGAGTTTGAGACCAGTCTGGGCAACAAAGTAAGACCCTTTCTCTAAAAGAATAAAAGATGGAGATAAAATTAGCCAAGTGTGGTGGTGTGTACCTGTAGTCTCTGCTACTCAGGAGGCTGAGGCAGGAGAATCACTTGAGTCCAGGTGTTCAAGGCTGCAGTGAGCCTTGATCTCAGCACTGTACTCCAGCCTGAGTGATGGAGTGAGATCCCATTTCTAGAAAAAAAAAAAAAAAAGACATAAAAACATCAGGTTCAAAAATTTTCTACAGTTGAGATACTTAGAGCAAAATAATTGCTGAGTCTTCTACTGGGGAAAAAATACAAATAGAAAGTTATTCAAAACTCTCAAGTGTTTCATAATTATTATAAAATAGTAATAATTTTCTGAGTGCCTATAACTATGATCCTAGCACTATTTAAGCTCTGACTCCATTGACCTCTCCAAATCCAGATAATATGTGAGGTAGGCTTTGAAACCCCATTTTATAAATCAGCAAAATGAATCTCAGGGCTTATGTAGTCATGCTGTATTAAATAATTGGCCAAGGAAAAAATCAGAAATCAGCTTCGTCTGTCTTCAAACCCAGCTTCTTCCAACATATGCCTTTGTATTGCTTATCTTCATTTCTCCTTGTTTTAAATTTTAAGAGGTGGTTTTAGCTTTCTTCTACAAATAGACATGAAAGGTTAACTCAGATATATAGTAGATAAACAGCTTAGGAAGATCTACAGCTGACCAATTCATAAGGATCACATCACAGCGGATATTTTGTGTGTTTTATATACCATTATATAGAAATTGATGTTGAAAAAATTATACTACTGCTTTCAATGTCATCAATTTTTAATATACTAAAAATATGTAATAATAAGTAAAATTGATTTAAATGTATTGTATTACAATTAATTTTTATCTGCAATTTGTATCTTCAGTTGCATAAATTTGTATCTTCAATTGACCCTAAAGATTTTCCAAGGAACAATGAATTACGGTAAGTATTGCTAGTATCATTTTCTTATCTATAATGAATATGTTAAATGTAATTTGAGATCTTTTAAAAATACATTATAAAACTATATATAATATTATATGTGTGGATATGAGCATACATCATGATATATATGTGTGGATGTGTGTATATGTCATAGTGTATATGTGTGTGTATATATATATTTATACATATATGAGATAAATGTGAATTTTAGAAATTGTGAAAATCTATTGTGTGTCTTGTTCCGCAGCTCAACTCATCCTTCCAAACTCATTCATTAAGTACATGTGCTTACCATACATACAGATTTTAAAAACAGTTAAAATCAGTTATTGTTCTTAGATATATTATGAACAAGGTATATTCCTAATTTAGCTAAAAATGTTGCTATGTTATAAGATCAAATATTTTTAAAAAATAATTTTAACTTTTATTTTAGGTTTAGGGAGTACTTGTGCAGTTTGTTACATGGGTATATTTCGTGATACCAAGGTTTGGGGTACAAATGATCCTATCACCCAGGTGATGAGCATAGTACCTGATAAGTAGCTTGTCGGCCTTTGCCCCCAACCCCCTCCCCTTCCCCCTAGCAGTCCCCAGTATCTATTGCTTCCATCTTTATGTCCATATGTACCCAACGTTTAGCTCCCACTTATAAGTAAGAACAGGTAGCGTTTGGTTTTCTGGTCCTGCATTAATTGGCTTAGGATAATAATGATCGCCAGCTGCAAAGGATATGATTTCATTCTTTTTAATGGCTGCAGAGTATTTCATGGTGTATATGTAGCACATTTTCTTCATCCAATCCATCATTGGTGAGTACCTAGGTTGATTCCATGTCTTTGCTATTGTGAATAGTGCTGGGATGAACATAAGAGTTCATGTGTTTTTTTGGTACAGTGATTTATTTTACTTGGTGTGTATACCCAGTAATGGGATTGCTGGGTTTAGTGGTAGTTCTGTTTTTAGTTCTTTGAGAAATCTCCAAACTGCTTTCCACAGTGGCCAAACTAATTTACATTTCCACCAGCAGTGTATGCATGTTCCCTTTTGTCTGCAGCCTTGCCAATATCTGTTGTTTTTTGACTTTTTAATTATGGCCATTTTGACTGGTGTAAGATGGTGTCTATTGTGATTTTAATTTGCATTTCTTTAATGTAAAATCAAATCCTAAATTGATATTAGTAATAATATCAACAGTAATTATGTAATGAAATAAGAAAAAAATGGAAACTTAGTAAATATATAGGTTTTGAAACATCAGGAACAAGAATTTATGAAGTGTCATACAAGTAATACACTACTGTAGTGATGATAATTAAGTGGCAAATTCTACACAGTTGATTGTCACTCAGGGAATTAGTGCTGTTGCAAGTGCTATTATGTTTCTAGTCTTGGACAAGGTACTTGAGGGTCTATCAATATATTAAGGATTTCTGTGAAGTGAAATGGAAGTAGTTTCCACCGGTTTCTTCCATCTAAAGTCACCTAGCCAGGGATAAAGTAGAGAAGTTGTACGCCTGCTTCTTTATTCTCATGAATAATTGAACAATAGCCTTGGGTGGATTTGCAATGTGCAACTCAGCTTAAGCTGCCTGAAACTCTTCTCAAATTTGTTCACATACGTATCTGTAATGACAGAGGAGGGTGGACACTTATCTCTAGGTGTTGGAAAATGGGGCCCCCTGAGGCCCAGGAAGCATTGTATCTATCTCAAATATATACACTTCTGTATTTGCAATATTTTATATTTGCCTAATGTAACCAGTTTTAAAATATCATCTAAAGCCTTAATCTCTTCTAACTTCACTATTGACACTTTGGGAGAATACACCTATGAAAATTCATAAGTGAGAAGTATGATCTTAAGGTTCATCTTCAGATATCTTAAAGTCTTGAAATTTGGGTTTTCCAATGTTTATTAATTAACCTTAGTTTTTATAATTCTGATACAAAATGTAAACATTACAATGTAAAATGTATGTTTTTAAAATATGAAGTACTCCTGAGGATATTTTGGATTTAGGGGTAAAATTTTATCTACCTCGTTGAATGACATGTTTTATGTATATGGGCTTTATTCTGAATTATTTGATTGAAATGGTTTTTATAAAAATCATCTAAACTCAGAGAAAAATTACTAAAATACTTATATAAATATATTTTTAAATGAGATCTACAGGCATATTTGAAATCCACATAACTTAAAGTCAGCTAAGTCATTTTCTTGTTTTCAGATTTTAGTTAATCGTGGTGCTATTATGAGGATACTTGAGGAGGAACTGCAAATTATAAATCTTAAATTTTCATGTTTTAATATATATTTGTCTTACTATTTTTTTCATTTTGGAGGTCTCCATGATCCGTGCTTATAAGAATTTTCTTAAAAATGTGTTATTCTAAGCACTAGTCAGTGGCAGACGATAGTATTAGCTATGCTAGTACTCACATGTAAATTACATTTGTTCTTTAAACTTTAAAAACAGTAAAATGTAGCCTTTTTCCATGCTTTTGTTGAATTCTGTATTTTAAAACGCTAATGGGACCTTTAAACCTGTTCGTAATTTTTAAGTGCTCTGATGGATATTCTGCATGGAGATTATTTAAATGAATTAGGCTGTTTAATCCCCTCTGTATTTAAAATAGTAGATTGTCACCACAATATAATTTTAATTTCCACTGTATCCATTGAAATAAATGCAGAATTATACCACTCACATCAGGCAATAAGGGGGTTGTCTTTTTCATTTTTTTTTCTTTACAGCTTCTAAAATATGGGAGACCCTCATTAATTCAACCAGTAATTGAACACCTGAAGACTTTCTGCTAGGTCTTGGAGAGATAGAGATTTTGTTTTTCCTAAAGAAAAGCCCAGTTTATTATAGAAAACAGGCAAATTCCAGACATGGAAGGTTACCTAACAGTAACTTACCCTGTTACACAAGATGGGCATCTCACATGATGTGGCACTAACATAAGTCTCATGGAAGTTGGAAACAGAAATCAGAGGAAAGCTAGCCCACTGTGCATGGTAGTTCACTACACAACCAACAGAACAGCACATAGTGGACAGAGAGGAAGGCCATTTCACACAGAGGAAATGAAACCTAAACTTTCTGCCAAAGTTCAAGGAAACACATTAGCATTTTGTTTTGGAGTAATGGGGCGAATGATGTGATATTATTTTCATTTTAGAAAAGTTAGTAACAGTTGAAAATAGGTTAAGAAAGAAGCAGGAGCCAATAAGACCAATCCAAAGTCTGTTATATATCAAGTAGAAATGGCAAGGACCTGAATCAAGAAGTGATACTGGGAAAGAAGGGTGCTGAGGATATATTCTAGAAGAAGACTGGATGGCCTGTTGAGGCAGGGAAGAAGAGTGAATAAAGAATGTAGGGTGTGCTTCATTCTGGCTTGACTAACGGGGCACATGGTGGTTGCCTCCACTGAACTGGGATAAAAACACATTGAGGGTCTTGTAAGATTGCAAATGATGAGCTTCATTTCAGTCACGTTGAACTGGAGGTATTTGTAGAATATGCAAGTGTTTGGAGAAGCCCAACAAGAGGCTGGATGCATTGTTGTAAAATCAAGAAAAAAGATATGTCCTGGTGGTATAAATTTGGTGGTCATAACGGTGACAACTGTAGCCAGTGACATCGCTGAGATATACAAGAGATATTATCAAATGGGAAAAAAATGAGGGCAGAAGGCAGAACCTTAGATGACACTACATTTAAGCTCCCGATAAAAAAGAATCAACTGTGAAAGAGAATGGAATGTATGGAAGCTCTTTTTTTTGCACCCGCCAGACACTTCTTCCCTGAACAAATGAACACTGTCAACTACACAGAATTTCCAAGGAAAGATGTCCATTTATTTCAGTGATGCTGTCATTGCTCAAAACACTTTATTTGGTCCTCTTTCATCTTACCTCTAGACCAGCAGCATTTTCTTTTTAATATCTTCAGTGTTGGCAAAGCTTTATTTTTTGACAATAAGTGTGTTTTTTTAGAGAGAACTCAGATGTCAAGAAGATCTAACTACCTAGTAATGATTCTTATTTCACCTCAAGTGCATTATAAACTGAGTGTGAAAGCAATTTCAATGAGAGGAGTTATAAAAATTAAAAGCCATGTTTTAATCATCTTCAAAAGAGTATACATTCTGCCAGAGACTTTTTGAAAAATGTTTAGTAAGTTTATATTTTATAGAAATAGAGCCATGCCTTATACATTACTATCTTAAATAATCTGACCTCTAAATATTTCTGAATCTACACAATTTAATGTGGCTTCTATTTTTTATACAAACCTGTCAACTGTCTTATAGAGATTAACGACTCAATGTAAATGCAGACCTTATTTTAAAGTTGCATTAAAATTCTTACTTGCCTTTACATCTTCAGACATTACTTTATTGCTTTTGCACTACCAGTTAATCCTAATTTGCAAGAGTTTTCTCTTTTATAAAGACACTGAAAAGTGGATATGTCACCTGTTCTAGTAGTTAATACCTCTCAGCAACCTTTTTTTCTTATTTCTCCTTTAAATTCTCTCCATAGCTGTCACTTAAAGGCATTTACAATGTAATTCGTGGTCGGCAGGGCACAATGTTTTCAGCACTTTGGGAGGCCAAGACGGGAGGATCGCTTGAGTCCAGGAGGTCAAGACCACCATGGGTAACATAACAAGACCCAGTCTCCACAAAAAAAAAATAAAAAATTAGCCTAGAGCAGTGATTTGCACCTGTAATCGCAGCTACTAGGAAGACCGAGGCAAGAGGATCACTTGAACTTAGGAGGCTGAGGCTGCAATGAGCCATGATTGCATCACTGCACTCCAGACTGAGTGACAAGAGCAGGACTGTGTCTCAAAATAATAATTAATAACCCGTCTCAAAATAATAATAATAATAATAATTTGAGGTCAATTTAAAATATATTTTTTTATGATGGAAACACTAAAAAATATAGATCACCTATATTATGTATCAAAATAACAACAAATTGTGTTCAATGATGACAGTAAAATCAAGTGAGTTATGGTATCCACTTTTGATCCACTTATGAAACATAATATGTTTGAGACAGCACTGTACTGAATATCCCTAAACTTGTAAATAAACTAGTTAGATAACCAAAGTATTGTTTTCTCATTATCATGCAGTATTAAAAAGTTTTGTGGATGATATTTAGGATTCCTGAAATTTGAGGCACAAGCTTAGATCAGGCTTATAATCCTGGTGCTCTAACCTTACACTCTTAGCACATAGAGTCTAGATATTGCTATTATGAAAGGTCATTACACTATACAATGGGCTTCTTAATTTTGAATAGATGTAAAATTAATTTCTAGGAAAAATATCTATTCCAATTTTTATGTTTGCCCTTATTTTTATTTTGTCATGTAAACATTGGTGGAATTCAGCTTATTAAACATTAAGAAACTTTTTTTTTAGTGTATGACTTCAAATGTATAATGTACCTAGAACTTTCTCATTAGTGAAAAGATGATTGCTAAATGTAAGATTTAAGGTTAATAAACTACTTGGTAACCTTATCATAAAGTTTAGATATAACATGTTCTCAAGTCATGAGGGATGTTTAGCCTTGTAAATTATTCTTGATGAGTTGAAAGATTGGACTATTTTAGTGCTAAAACCTCTACTAACTCCATGATGTTATTATTGCTCCTCACATTACTTCAGACTGAAACTGTTAGTATTCATTTCAACCTCTGTTTTTTTTTCCAAAACCCCATCCCATGCTAGGATACTCTTATACATTAATTTAACTGTCATGCTTAAACTCTGTGAACTTTTGGATTATGTCTAATTCATCTTTTTGCCCTCGTAGAGCATTCAGTACAATCCTCTAAAATCTCTCCTGCCAATCCCTTTTCACACACACACAAAAAGAAAGGCAAAGAATGAGTGAGATTCTGGTGCCAGTTACTGGTGAGTTGTATTTTCTCTAAATCACTGGATACTTGATTGTGATAAAACTTCAAGCTTCAACTCCTTGTGCTGCACACTTACATATGTTTCTGGACCCATCATGACTTGTGACTTCTCTTCTGATTGTCCATCTCTGAGTGTTAGATGTCATTCCACAATCTATTCTATAAATTAAGCTATAGAAATTCTATAGACTATTCCATAGTCTACTAGAATTTTTCTAACACATCATAATATGTTACACAAAAAAATACTCCCACTACACATGCTAATCAGATGTACAGCCCTTCAATGACTGTATAGTCATCAGAGCCAACAATTTATGTATGTTAATAAGGTCAAAGTGTCTGCCTCCATATAGTCATCAAATGAAATGCTGTGATTAGAAACATCCTGTAGACATCTGTACAATGCAGCAATGAAGGAATAAAACTATGTGGGATGAAGATATTTGGTACTCGTATTTTTCTAAGTTGAAAAGCATGAGCTCATGGCTTATTCACTACTGGATACTGAATGGAGGAAAGTGAATGACTCAGCACACTTAAGTTTGCATGTGAAGTGCTTAACTCTGGGAACACTAAATTGCAGAAGCAACTCATTACATAGACAGCATTTTTAAGGTTTCTTAGGTCAAACAATTCTAGCCCTTTGGTAAATAAGTAGCAAACGGGATCTTATAAAAGAAGAAATTGGAAGATGAATAAAGCAACTACTATTTGTCAAGCTTACCTTATATGCTAGGCATCATGTTAGTTTCAACCAGATTATTTCAACCAGATGTTCCTCAGACACACATATTAACCCCATCATGGGGTAGCACACAGCCAGCCAGGGACTGGTTTAGATTTCTTCCAGCTTATTAATGTAATTTTTATTTTCTTTTGAAGTAAGTATTCCAGTTTGGAATTGTTCTCTTGTCTTTCACAGTTATTGAAACTTCAGTTTGCATTCATCCCTCAGCAATCACTTATCCTATTTTCCCATGTCCCCAAGTGAGAGACACTGTACTCAACTGCAATTCTACGAAGCCGTTTGACCTCTGTATAATCAGATGGAATACGTTATGCTTTGGGAACAACTCTCAAATTCACAGCAGCTTATCTCAACAAGAACTTCTCCTCTCATAATACAGGCCCAGCAGGAGCTAAGAGTGGAGCACACAATCACTTGGGGACCCAGCAGGACACAGACCTTCCTCCAAAGAAGCTTCCATGAACATTGCAGCAGCAGAAGAGAGGGCTGGGTGGTATTATCATGGCAATTAAGTGCTCCCATCTAAAGCTAGACATATTCCTCTGCTAACAGCTCACTGGACCAGCCAGTCAATGGTTATGTCTGGGTTCAAGGAGAGTAAGGAAGTGCAATCCTGCCTTAACGCATAAAGAGGAGCCCTCATTTGCCTTAATCTAGACTACACAACCATTGAAACGACTAGGGAGCCTACCCCCTCCCCGCCCCCGCCCACACACAGACATGCCTACCTGCCTACCTTCTTTCTGCTTCTCCTTTCCTTCTCAACTCGGGGATAAAGAATCAGATGTATGTTACATATGATTGTCTCACTTCTCACAAAAGGCCATGAAGGCCGAGAGTGGTGGCTGACACCTGTAATCCAGCACTTTGGGAGGCCTAGGTGGGCAGATCGCTTGAGCTCAGGAGTTTGAGATCAGCCTGGGCAACATAGCGAAACCGTGTCTCTACAAAAAATACAAAAAATTAACCGGGCGTGGTGGCAGACGCCTGTAGTCCTAGCTACTCTACAAAAAATACAAAAAATTAACCGGGCGTGGTGGCACACGCCTGTAGTCCCAGCTACTCGGGAGGCTGAGGCAGGAGAATGGCGTGAACCCAGGAGGCGGAGCGTGCAGTGAGCCGAGATCGAGCCACAGCACTCCAGCCTGGGTGACAGAGCGAGACTCCATCTCAAAAAAAAAAAAAAAAAAAAAAAAAAAATTAACCTGGCTTGGTGGCACGTGCCTGGAGATCCAGCTACTGTGGGTCCTGGGGCTGGAGGATTGCTTGAGCATGGGAGGTCCAGGCTGCAGTGAGCCAAGATCACGCCACTGCACTCCAGCCTGGGTGACAAAGCAAGACCCTGTATCAAAAAATAAAACACCATGAAGTAGGTATGAATAATCTGCACTTCACAAGTGACAGAACTGAGACTTCTAGGACTCCAGCGCCTTACACATCATTGTGCACATTTGGGGTCCAGCCTTCGACCCCAGATCTTTTGGGCTTAAAATCTTCAGTGAGTATCCAATTTCTGTAAGAAAGTTTTTACATTCTTCAATAAGCTATGCACAGTCCTCCAAGACTTGCTTTCCCATCACTCTCACGAGTTAGTTTGTATTGCCCTCAGCCTTCAAGCCTTACTGTACCATCGCAAGGAACCTCCTGTGATTTCTTTGGGCTTCATTTCTTTATCCCTTTGCTCATATGGCAACTCCACTTTTGACTCTCCTTGGTCTTCCTGAGAAACACTAACCTGATTTTAAGTTGCAGTTCATGAATTCGTGCCTTCTAGGAAGGCTTTTTAAATTTTCACTCTTACACCAAAGTTAAATCAGTTATCTCTTCATTTTATTTCCATTGTACGCTGCACACACTTTTATGGAACTAATTTTTGTCGTTTTTACTGTCTTTTGCATGTCACTTTTATACTCAGGGTGCCTTGGGGATACCTCTTCTTCATTTTTATAACTGAGCATCTCTGTGTCTGTGTTGGTGATTAACACATGGGCTTTTATTAAATGTTGAATGAACGCAGAATACACATGTAGCAGCGCCTTCAGGCATATACTCTGGAGCTCGACTGTCTTAATTGAAATCCTACTTCTACCATTGCCATTGTCTGATATGGCCCAGATTAATTTCTTTGTGTTTCAGTTTTTCTTCAGTAAAAGTAAGGTAATAATATGATCTTTCCATTGTTGTGTCGGTGTTATTTTTGGGATTAAAGAGAGCGTAATAAGGGTTTTAAGGGAGTAATTGTTAAAATCAACATCTCTCTCCAGTTATTTGGAGCTATTATAAATCTATGTCTTTAGATCAGACCTATTGCCATTTGCAATAGGTCTGATCAATAGGTGAAAGTTGCAGGGAACTGGATGGATAATTATAATTATATTGCTCAATTAATGCATTCAGAAGTAAATATCTAAGTTAAATGTATTAAATATATAAGTTAAATGACAAACTTATACTAAAAATACAATTTGGGCCCACAGATTGGATGGTTCAAATATTTTTTTTTCTGGTTTGCTCTCTGTTCATGTGGAATTAATTCCTTTTGTAGCAGAATGTATCCAATACTAACAGATATGAAAGAGTTAAACCACAACCCTTGAACTATAAGGTTAAAAACTTAGAATTTTCTCCCCATTCACTGCAGCTGTAGATAAGAAACAGCCGTAAAAGAAAGGAAAAGTGCTTGAGTAATGAAGAAAGTTATTTGGACTGGAAGATATCATTTTTTTTTCCTGTCTAACATTAGAATGTTCTTTTAAAAAAAGTTTCAAAGGAACAGCATAAGCTTTCATAGATATTTTCAGGCATTCTGTCACTTGAAATTTTACTTCCTGTAGTTTCTGCATTATGTGAGTTGCTTAATAGCAGTTACGAATATAAATAAAAATAAGAAAAACAGATATAAATATATATTTGTCTATACACCTCAGAAAGAATGCTTGTTACATAAGACTGAATTTGGGGTAACCAAAAAAAGAAAGAAAGAAAAAACTTTCTGTCCAAGGCACAAGAGTATGGACCAGGCAATAATACAAAAGCAGAGAGAAGGCTTTAAAATGAGTGAAGAAGCAAATGAGATAAGGACAGCTATGCCACTCATATTTCTAGCTAATATTCCCCCAATCCACAGATAGGTTGGTGGTTAATACTAGAACCACATTTTAGTAATAACTCTGTGTTAGCCAGAACATAACACAATGTGATTGTGAGGACTTAGGTTAGCCATTGGTAAGCTGCCTGTAGTAGATTTTGATGAAATCTACTACAAAATCTATGATGAAACTCATCATAGATTTTGATAAGTTTTCATTTAACAATTTTTTTCAGTCTTACATTACAAAACTCTTTCTTAGATCATTAAAGGTAGGTTTTAAACTATGGGAACCAGCATTATGTATGCTCAATAGTTATGCTTTACAGTTTGGTTTCTAATAGGGACCAAATTTTACACTCCGAACACCTAGTTTTAGAATAGCTAGAACTTTTGGTTTGGTACCTACCCTAACATTGGATACAATAGAATTTATTTCTTGAAATAAATGAGCATGCGAATTTAAAAATGTGAAAGGAATTTGGAAACAGTAATCAATTTACTTCACATATGTCACTAATTTGAGATAACAGGAAAAATTTAAAATAATTATTTTGACACAAATTGTTCAATGCAAGGAAAATAGAAGTGCTGTGGATATGGCCATTGCTTGTATAATATTTCTTTTTTTATTACCCAGGACCCATTGATTTGTACTAGAGATAAAATTTCCCCATCTATTTATGTCAATAAACATAGTGCAGAAAATACATATATATATATATATATATATACACATATATATATATATATATATATATATATACATATATACTCAAATTACTAATGTTCATGTAACAGCACTATTAATATTAAAGCTTTAAGGTATGCTCATTCTGGAATTTCCATTTTATTGTCTCATTCTCATCACATATGATGATGATTCTTGAAGTTCTTGAGTCACTGGCATGCTACAAGTGACACTTTTGTGCGTGTGCCCTATGAGCAAATCCTGCAGGTAGAGAAACCCTCTTAACTGTGAGAGAACCGTTCAAATTAAGGTAACAAAACTTTATTTAATGATTTCTTTTTAAAAACATATATTTTGAGAGCAACTACCCAAACCTATCATCTCTTAATTGCGTTTCTCTTAAGTCATTAGAAAAGTTTTTACAGCAAAAATTTTAAAGTTACAAAATCGGGGTAAATATCATCCAGTTCTCTGCCTTTTGATTTGACTTACTTATCTCTTAAGTTCAAATAGTTATTGAAATTGGATTCAATATATGTGTCTCAAACATTTACTTTTTTAAAACTCTGGCCTTACTGAAAGATTTCCAAAAGGCAATTTGGATTTCCACTCACTATATCTCTATGACTAAAGTCTCTCTAGTGAAATGTGAAATGAGGATCTGGAGAGAAACAAAATTCATTTTATTATAAATTAAATATTTCATGGGCTGCCCACAATGAAATTGAACTAAATCTTATCTAATTTTTCTGTGTAGTCTAACAAACTAGACTTTAACAAGTGATCAAAATGTCTTGCTAAAGAATTTGAAGAGTTTAAAACACAAATGTAAGAAATTGATAAACATATTTAGCATCAAATTAAAAATCTCCCATTGGTGTTCAGTTTTCCTAAAATACATCTTACTGTTAAAATTATAATTTTCATATGTACAAGCCAGAAGGCAATTCTTGCTTAAAGAGCACAAAGTTTAACAAAATCCATTGAATCTATTTAGGTTTTCATGCTTTGTAAGCATTCTAGAGATTATTCCTTTTATTTCATAAATTATAGATATAGGTGGATTTTTCAGTGCTTTTTTTCTTTCCTCTCTGTTTAATGAAAATCAGAAAATGTAGAATGTGCCATGATGAAATCTTTCATTTGGGGGAAAAAAAGCTAAATCTAATATGGCTTGATCCATTTGAGGAATTTGCATTGGAATGATGAATTATTATGTTAAATAAATTCTGGATTTTATAGCTATAGGCTCTTAAAAAATGATAGAAAATGCTTTAGGAAATCTGTCACCTTCAAATGCGTTAAAATGTTTGTGGATGCTACTCCTAAGAGAATGATTCAAACGTTTTTAAATAAAGATGTACCTGACACTTCAATAGCATGAATAGAATCTGAATTTATGAGCAACACTAGATTATAAAGAAATGCCCACTTACTCATTTCCTTAAACATTGGCAACATTTTAAAATGGCAATTCCAATTATATATAAAACCTTTCCTGGCTTTTGAAATCATACGTGATATCACAATCATCCAATTTCCAATAGGACATTGTATTTCTTTCACATACCTCTCACTTAACATTGTGACATGTGCTTACGTGTGTACCTGTCTCATCTAGTCTTAGGTATTATATTTTACCTCCTCAAACATGAGGAGTAGCATTTATCCTTTTTTATAACTCGCAGTGTGTGGCAGTGTCCTACCTTCAGTGAATGTTCAATAACTTTTTCCAGCATCAAAGACTGGAGGAAAAAATTATCGAAATTCTGACTGCTGCCCTGGAGAAAATAGAATGTAACTCCCTGGTAATAATCCTCCACGTCTAAAGTAAGAATTGAAGCAAAATAACTACTTGACTAGGAGGAACCCAAACAGATAGAAAAGCCATGTCATTTACCTCCAAAAGTGCTGTGTGCGTGTGTGTGTTTGTGTCCAACTCAACTAAGGAGTTTTTATTATTCAAAATACAAATAATCACTCTCCCCACCCCATGGTTCTTTGTATTTTGAAAAGATGGGGAAGGCTGGTGGTGAAAAATCAGAATGTGTGTATTTTGAAAAAGTTCCCTGAATGAGTCTAAAGTCCATTACTTCTTCCCTTTGTCCTAGAAATTTGACATATTATTATTTAATTAATTAATAATATGAAAATTATAATATATCTCCTATTAAGAACTAATTGAATGCAGATTGTCTAGAAGTAATCCAGTTTTCCTATGGATTCCTGTGGCCTTGGTCAACAGTGTAAACCTTCAGTGTATACTAATGTAGTTACATCCTTGACACATACATTGATATAATATACAAACATACACTATTAGAGTGGCATGTAGCATTTGCAGTCCTCAACTATCAAGGTCCTCATGGCTATACACAAGGTAAACCCATTGGAGCAGATATGGTAAAAACTCACAGGAGAAGCACCTAATTATTATAATATGAATTAAACCAAATACAAAAAAGTAAAATACTTTGATTTAAACATAAAAAAATTTAAGAATGCAAAGAAAACGACATGACCCCAAAGAACAATGTTAAAATAAAGGTGATACAAACTTTGATTCAAATATGAATGAGATTTTTGTCATATTATCCCACCAATTTGCATACCTAAAAATTCATGTTTAATTTCAAAACTCTTTTCAGTTTTTGTGACTGTACAATATCTGTTCAAGATACTTATGTTAACAAATCGGTCAGTCAGTCAAATAAATAGTCAAAAAAACAGAAAAGAATTTGAATATATTGATGAACTACAACTCCATAGAGACTATGCTAGGTGCTTTGAAATGTCATGTTTCATGTAATCCTGCCAACAAGTTAAACAAGCCCATTTTATAGATGAGAAAGCTCTGGATCCGGGGAGTTGAAACACAGATGCACAATTTCATTGACCTAATAGCAACAGACTCAAAATTGAAAACCAAGTATGAATGCTCTAAAATGTTTATTCTTTTCACTATTACTATATATCAAGGGTTTGAATGTATGGTCCATAGGCTGAATCTAGACTGCTTTACCCTATGAAGTAAGAATGGTCTTATATTTTTAAATAATTTCTTAAAAATGCAAAAGAATACTATTTCCTGACACATTGAAATTCAGATTTTAAAGTCCATAAATAAAGCTTTATTGAAACACAACCAAAACCACTTATTTAAGTCTTGCCTCTGGCTGTTCTTGTTTTTTGTTTTTTTGAGACTGAGTCTCCATCTGTCACCCAGGCTGGAGTGCAGCAGCACGATCTCGGCTCACAGCAACCTCCGCCTCCTGGATTCAAGCGATTCTCCTGCCTCAGCTCCTGAGAAGCTGGGACTACAGGCATGTGCCATCATGCCCAGCTAATTTTTGTATTTTTAGTAGAGATGGGGTTTAGCCATGTTGGCCAGGCTGGTCTCGAACTCCTGACCTCCAGTGATCCACCCACCTCAGCCTCCCAAAGTGCTGGGATTACAGGCATGAGCCACAGCACCCAGCCACCTCTGGCTGTTTTCATGCTACAGCATTAGAGTTGAGTATTTGCAAGGGAGATTGCATGGCCTACAAAGCTGAAAGTATTCATGAGCTGACTCCTCACAGAAAAAGTTTGCAGACCCCAGGTATATATTTTTACCTCCCCATTAATGCATGCTTGTGGTCATAGAAGTGGTCTAAACACAAAGTGTATCCACAAAACAGAAAGACAATTTTATTCCAAAACTACTGATGAGTAATGTTTTTAAAGAACAGTAATGCATCAGAAGGACAACTCACCCTGCATTTTCCTTTCCATACAATTTAGAGTTCATTGGCTTGAAAGCTTCCTTGAAGTCTTGCAGCACTTAATACATGCACGTATTAAACCTCTCAAGTTTACTTGGCCCGAGTGTTGTGTAAAAGATCTTGGAAGCAATTTATCACAGAAGAATTTGTCACTGATTAACTCTTTTTTAGATGTGTTGTGGAGTAGTAAAGTGAAGTCAAGGGTGATAATGCTGACAGGGTATTTACCAAGTGGTGGAGAATCTGCCAGCTGGTGCTAAAAGGATTTGTAGTCTTGCCACATCATGTCCTTTTCTGAAGCCCAACCCTATACACCCCCCCACCCCAGTAACCAGTTTCTGTGGAGTCTAAAGCTTATAAAATTTGAGGGGCCCTCTTTAAGAAAAAGAAGACAAAACTACAAATACAAAATTAGACATATGGTCTCGGAGGAGCTCGGGCAATTGAGGGGTCCTGAGATTTAAACTTCATTCGTTTCAGGAGAATAAACTTTTACCCCTGCAGGAAAGAGAGAGGCTGGAGGCACCGTAGACAGGGAGAGGCCATATTCGTCCACATGCTAGCCATGCAAAAACGTCAATTTAATAGATTCCATTGTAAAGCAGAGCTTCCAGATTTCAGTAGCATCCCGAATTAGGAAAGCACATTTCATGTAACTTCAATGTCTTCAGCAAGTAAAGTCCTGCTAGATTTTTTTTTTTAATTTTCTATAAAAAAAAAAAAATCCTGCTGAGGAAAAAACAGCTATAGTAGCTCACAAAACACATGGCTGCAGAAGTGTAATTCTTCCCAGGTTCACTTCAGTCCACTCCTGCTCTGCTTTCTTCTAGTTTCTTTTGAGGTTTAAACTCAAAACTACAAACTAAAGCAGCTGCATGCTCTCCTCTGGGCTCACAGCATGTCCAAAGCTTCAGAGACGCAACTCAGTCCCTGGACAGCCCGACTCCTTTCGCCCACTTCAGAACAAGTGCCAGTATCTCCATGAACATTTCCTATCCTCTTTTCTCTACTCACTTCCAGATTTTTTCCTTCACTTTCTTCACCTTTGATTCCAGATTTCTTCCAAACACAAGAAGGTTTCTTTTTTGTGGGAAGTAGTTGACTAGACACTAAGGGCTGAAGCCAGAATAAAATAGGAAAGAAGGGACCAGATGGTGCGGAAGTAAGAATTAGTCCTAGGTCTAGGGGGAAGCCAGATCTGAAAAAGCAACAGAGTTGGAAGGTCTGAAGTAAAAGACCCCGGTGATGATCCTGCTGACTGATATGGTCACTGTTACCACCAGGAAAGAAGATGAAGGGTTTCTGCTGCCTACCTGACTTTGAGTGAAGCAAATGCTTTCAAATGTCAAAGGGAAGCATGCGATAAAGGAAAGATGCAGGCTGAAGACTTGACGAGAATGCAGCCTGAGTACCACTCTCTCTATTACCAGCTATGTAAGATCTCAAAAATCAGTTCTTTTTAAGTTGATAGATTATTGGTACTTATTCCTCCCAGAGATAAATGTTGTCTATAAGAAGTGAGAGAAAGGGTTTGGAGGGCTCAGTGCCATTCCTGGTATAATGATATTTGAGGACATTAGGTACCACAGCTTTCAGAATGCTACCTTTCCTTAGGAACCTCTTCAAATAATTACCTGGCATTCCCAGGCTTTCTGATTTACTTCCTGAACGCAGTCCTAAACACCTGCCCAAGATCATGCTAGAGACCCGCCCTGCCCCTCAGGATTCTGATCTGTGCTGAGTATCTTCCATTTGCACTCCGATTTAGACCTTTTCTTGACTCTTTCCACCCCGCTCAGCGCTCTGCTGGCCGCATTCCCTTGCTTGTTGAGTTCACCACTAGTCACCATCAGCAGGAGATGGGGAGTGAGAGGATATTTACTCCCCCAGCAATCTTACTGCTCAGAACTATTCCTCTGTAACCACAGCTCCTGATGGGTGACGCCTCTTGAGTTGCTCCAGGTCTGTCTGGGCTCCAGAAGTGACTCTATTTCCTCCTTTAGTCCCTTCAACTGCTTCAACTGCTATTCTTTGGACACCTCCCTCGATACCCATTTTTGTTCTCTCAAGCAGTCCCTTCATTACTGCCTACAATTTTTAAACATAGTCCCTTCCTTAAATGACCTTCATTTGAACCATCAGCTAAATTCCTCTCATTGGAACCCAGAGTTTTGATTGTAGTCTATAGTTAGTAAGATGGTATTTGGGGAAATGTGTTTATAATGAAGTTAGTTTGTAGCAAGCTAACCAATCACTGTTGGTCAGGAACTGTTCCCTTCTTTTTCCAAGCCAAGACTTTCAGAAACAAACAGACAAAACCCCACACATCCAACCAGAATGGAGTCCAGAGGAAAGAGAAAGGGCACCTTTTTAAGGAGTCAAATCCCCAGGGATTTT
Source organism: Homo sapiens (assembly GCF_000001405.40). Taxonomy (NCBI): domain Eukaryota; kingdom Metazoa; phylum Chordata; class Mammalia; order Primates; family Hominidae; genus Homo; species Homo sapiens. The sequence continues at coordinate 90,928,887 of NC_000013.11, forward strand.
CACTGAGGCCACAGGTGTTCCAGGCACATCCTACTGTCTTGGGAAAATTTATCTTGTAGGAATACAAGTTATATTTTTTATTCAATGGCATAATAACATATAAACTGCTTAGTTATATGTGATATATGAAAAATAATCTGTCCTTCACTGGCTTCACTATATAGAATCACTACATTTTTGGTTTTTCAGAAAATTCAATTTACCCTTCAATGAAATGAAAGTATTTTAAATTTCATTGATGTGAAAATACTTAAAATATAAACATTAGAAATATTATTTTAACATCAAACCTCATTTGAAAACTCATTTCTATTTTATGAAAAAGAGGACTTTGATAACCATAATTCTTACACTGTCATACATACTAGGAAACAAGAAATGTTGAAAAGGTAAAGAAAAGACATGCTCACAGAATTATAGTTTATAATGTCCAGGGGTGAGTCTAACGTAACAAAAGGATCAAGAATGTAGCGAAGTACTATTATCATCTCTCTCTTCTAATACTAATACATGGCAAGTAATTTTATATTCAAAAAAAGATTGCAATTTCCAGAACCATAATTAATAAGCAGGCTGTTTGTACCTTCTGGGAATGCCAAAAATACTATTTCAAGATTCAGATTCCGAAGAGGAGAAATGATTTTGCTCTTGACAAAGGGTCCTAATTTAGTTATCTTTCCCATTCAAATACTTCCTTTGTCAACCTCGTCCAGTAATCTAATCTAAGTATACGTTGGCAGGCTTACCTTGTGCTTTCGTGTGCATTTCAGACATCAGCAGGGAGGAAAGAAGAAAGAGCCAGTATACATGCAAAGCCACCAGTCCAGTGTCAAGGAAAACGAGAAATACTGAGACTTTCAGAGAAGCGGTCATACTTCAGTTGAGGCCACTGCACAATTCCCCAATAGACATGACAGCCCTGGATCTGAGAGAAGCTTTGTACAGCATTCCCTACAGTACTTCCTTGTAGAAATGCAGGCTGTGCGCAATCATGCTGACCACCTAATTGAGGAGAGAACAATGATGTCATCAAGAATGTCAACAAATTTTCTTGTAGGAGAATGTCTGGAGAAATCGGAATCAGGGAAGATGAAAGAGTTTCTTTTCTTATGCATAGAGTAGAACAAACATGAAAGCAACATATAGTAGTGTCCATTGTTGCTCATGCCCAGTTCTTTCCCTTGTTTGAAAACTACAACTAACTACATTTTTGCTTGCATGTACAGTATATGCACTCTAACCATGAGATCTGAATTGAATTGAATACTTTTGGTTGTAAAACTACCATGGATTTTCTCTTTTTTTTTTTTTTTTTTTTGAGACAGAGTCTTGCGCTGTCACCCAGGCTGCGGTGCAGTGGCTCATTCTCGGCTCACTGCAAGCTCCGCCTCCCGGGTTAACACCATTCTCTTACCTCAGCCTCCTGAGTAGCTGGGACTACTGGTGCCTGCCACCACGCCCGGCTAATTTTTTTGTATTTTTAGTAGAGATGGGGTTTCACCATGTTAGCCAGGATGGTCTCGATCTCCTGACCTCGTGATCCACCCACCTCGGCCTCCCAAAGTGCTGGGATTATAGGCGTAAGCCACCGCGGCCAGCCGACTATCTCTCTTTTTTGTATGTCCCTGCTTACGGCTGTATGACATTTCAATGCTTGCTAAATTAAGAATTATGGCATAATGTTTTGCTAATTTTCTAGATGTCCAATTAAACCAAATAGTTATCATTATTGGTTACAAATGTTGATGTATTATAACACAGAGTTTGTAAAATAACATTCTTTCCAGCACATTGACAGGGTTTGTACAGTTTTAACAATTAAGTCTTCATTTAAAAATTGAGGGATGTCATTGTGGAAAGTAGTGTGTTGATTCCTCTAAAAGGTAAAAATGGAACTATCATTTTCCCAGCAATCCCATTACTGAGTATATACCCAAAGGAATATAAATTATTCTACCATGAAGACACATGCATGTGAATGTTCGTTGCAACACTATTCACAAGAGCAAAGGCATGGAATCAACATAAATGCCATCAGTGACAGATTGGATAAAGAAAATGTGGTACATGTACACCATGAAATACTATACAGCCATAAAAAGGAATGAGATTATGCCTTTTACGGGAACATGGATGGAGCTGGAGGCCATTATCCTTAGCAAGCTAATGCAGGAACAGAAAATCAAATACCACATATTCTCACGCATAAGTGGGAGCTAAATGATGAGAACTCATGGTCCCAAAGAGGAGAACAAAAGACACTGGGGCCTACTTGAGGGTGGAAGTTGTGAGGAGATAGAGGGGTAGAAAAAGTAACTATTGAGTACTAGGCTGAGTACCTGGGTGACAAAATAATCTGTACAACAAACTCCTGTAACATGAGTTTACCTATATTACAAACCTGTACAGGTATCCCTGAACTTAAAATAAAAGTTAAAATTTAAAAATTATAAACAGGCCAAAAAAACATGAAAAAAAGCTCAACATTGCTGATCATTAGAGAAATGTGAATCAAAACCACAATGAGATACCATCTCACACCAGTCAGAATGGTGCTTATTAAAAAGTCAGGAAACAACAAATGCTGGTGAGGCTGTGGAGAAATAGGAACACTTTTACACTGTTGGTGGGAATGTTCAACCATTGTGGAAGACAGTGTGGCAATTCCTCAAGAATCTAACCAGAAATACCATTTGACCCAGCAATCCCATTACTGGGTATATACTGAAAGGAATATAAATCATTCTACTATAAAGACACATGTGCATGTATGTTTATTGCAGCACTATTTACAATAGCAAAGACATGGAACCAACCCAAATGGCCCATCAGTGATAGACTGGATAAAGAAAATGTGGTGTATATACACCATGGAATACTATGCAGCCATAAAAAGGAATGAGATCATGTGCTTTGTGGGGACTTGGATGAAGCTGGAAGCCATCATGCTCAACAAACTAGCAGGAACAAAAAACCAAACACTGCATGTTCTCACTCATAAGTGGTAGTTGAACAATGAGAACACATGGACAAAGGGAGGGGAACAGCACACACTGGGGCCCGTGACGGTGGGAGGAGGGGAGGGAGAGCATCGGGACAAACAGCTGATGCATGCAGGACTTAAAACCTAGACGAAGGGTTAATAGGTGCAGCAAACCACCATGGCATGTGTATACCTGTGTAACAAACCTGCACGTTCTGCACATGTATCCCGGAACTTACAGTAAAATAAGTATTTTTCAATAAGACAGAAAAGAAAGAAATAATACACAGTGGAGGGATGTCAAATAATTTAAATTTCAGAGTTTTTATAAAATCAGATCTCACAGCACAGGGTCTCCATTCTTCTAAGACAGTAATCAGCTTGATAAAGGTGGAAGCCAGCATTCCCTCTTCTTGAAAGCTTCCTTTGTTTTGGGGGGCACCACACCTTCTTTGTTTTCTTCTTGATTCACTGGTGGTTCTTCTCCCATCATTTTGCCAACTTCTTCCACCTTTAAATGTTGTTACTCCTCAGGACTCTGTTCTAGGTCCTGAAGAAGGTTCTTTTTCTTTTCTTTCTTTCTTTTTTTTGAGACAGAGTTTCACCCTTGTTGCCCAAGCTGGAGTGCAGCGGCGTGATGTTGGCTCACTGCAACCTCCGCCTCCCAGGTTCAAGCAATTCTCCTGCCTCAGCTTCTGGAGTAGCTGGGATTACAGGCACGCACCACCACACCTGGCTATTTTTTTGTATTTTTAGTAGAAACGGGGTTTCACCATGTTAGCCAGGCTGGTCTCAAACTCCTGACCTCAGGTGATCCACCCGCCTCGGCCTCCCAAAGTGCTGGGATTACAGGCATGAGCCACCATGCCCGGCCAGAAGGTTCTTTTTCTTATTCCAAATGTTTTTCCTAAGCAGATCTCAATCACTCTTACAATATATGTTTTATATATTGTGTACCATGTTTCCCCTTAGCTTCAGGGAATATGTTCCAAGATGTCCAGTGAATGCCTGAAACCATAGATAGTACCAGGCCCGATTGCCGTCAATCAGAACACATTTCTGTTCATGTCTTCTACCCACAGGTGTAATGCCTTTCCATTAACTAAGCACTTATCCCACAATGTGTTGGAAACTTTTGCAGTCTGACATGTAACAGCAAGACTAGCATAAATTTCTCTTCCCTTCTTCCAATTTTATAAATAAAAGATTGATTCTCACAGTAGCATTTAGCAACCTAAGCATGGGATTCTTTTTCTTTCCTTATAAAGAAGTTTTACCTTTTCACTTAAATGAAAAGCACTTTATGGCTTCTTTTGGCACATTTAAATAGCCAGCAGCACTACTCTTGGCTTTGGGACTATGATGAAGTAAAACAAGGATGACTTGGCCACAGCACTGAGACACCACAAGTCAATCTGATCACTGAGCAGGATGAAGTGGGACAGCACGAAATTTCATCATGCTACTCAGAATGGTGTGCAATTTCAAACTTATGAATGGTTTATCTCTGGAATTTCCAATTTAATATTTTCCTATTGCAGTTGACCTCATGTAGCTGAAACTGCTGAAAGTGAAACGCTGGATAAGTGGGGGACTAGCGTGTGTGTATGAGTGTGTGTGTGTGTGTGTGTGTGTGTGACAGAGAGAGAGAGACAGAGAGAGAAACAACTCAAAAAGTTCTATTTCCAGAACAGTCAATTTCCACTGTTCTTCCTTCCTGTCCTCTCTTTTTCTTGTACACTCATCTTCATTTTATTTATTGAATGAATCACACCATTTCCTGTTACCTGCTATTTGAAAAGTTCTTCCTCTTCTCCCTTACTTTCTCCCTACTTATCATTCAAATTTCTCTTTCAGCCTAGATTTTATTTTTCTACAAAACTTTCCTGATCTAACATAAGATTATGTCCTTCTATTATCTACTTTTACAAGAGCCTAAATAAATATCCCCTTTGTTGCACTTATTAGGACCATAACAAATTATTTGCTTAATGGTAATTTTAATTAATAGAGACTGTAAAATACATTCAGGCAGGTCCTCTTAGTGCTTTTCACTGCCTTTGAATTGAGCAGTCTTTGATAAATAATGTGCTCATAATAAATATTTATTGATTTTGATATGAAGCTGTTCTTAGGTGTTAGAATAAAAGTTACAGGAGATCTTTTAACTTCCCTTTGAGAAATTCAAAAACCTCTCTCTTTCCTATCAACCTTAAGGATATGCCAGATAATTTTAAATAAGTGGGCTGGTAAAGTGATTAGGGACCATGCCAAGTAACCCTATTACACTACTTTATACGTAACACATTATTTTAGCCTGAAAAAGTTAAACACATATAATTCTTAAGACTACATTATTGTAGAATTAATAAATATTCTAAATCTGTGGGCAATAATTATAAAGCACTAATCACTTAGAGTTTTTGTTAAAGTAATAATTATTTTAATTAATATTATTTCCAATAAAGAGAAGTATATTTAGAATGTACATAACAGCCATGTTTTAATCAAGCAATTTTATGGTGAGTTCAAAATATTTTATTTCTTTTTAATATGAAATAAATTAAGTATGTGCAATGTTTTTGTCATAATCTTAACAGTGCAAATGATTTACCACCATGGCCAAGGTCACAACTGCCTCAAATTACTTATTGCAAGAAGTAGGGCAAACATAAGTTCATGCTTATTATATATAGTTACTTGTTGAACTGGGGATCTCTGGGCTTCTTCAAAAAAATAAGGCACACAGCAGAAAAGTTTGGCATCTTAAGTTATCTGTTGAGCTGAAAGCTGTCATCTCTTTTCTGCTTTTGCCTAAAGACCTGGAACACTAGCGTGTTCACTTGGCCAAAGACAGATGGATACCCACACATTCTCCCCAGGCCTAACACTTGTTCTCCCAATACCAACCAACCAAGGAGTTTGGTCCACCATCTGCGGATCTGTGTGGCCTCTTTCTCATCGTATAAATTTTATGACAAGTGACTGAGTGGCTTTACACTGTGCATTCTAAGATTATTCTTTTTTGGTATGTAAGCACTACAGGCCGCCATCTGTACTTGTCAGGGTGGGCTATGTCAGGCTGCAGTAACAAACACCACCCTATTCTCAGTGGCTTAACACAAAACAATTTTTTTTTTTTATCTCACTCATCTTGAATGTCCAAATGGAGCAGCACTGATTTCAGCTCATTGTAGTCACTCAGGCTGATGGAGGCTCCATTTCAGGACTTGTCACAACAATCTCTACACTTGGGAAAAGGGAGTTCAGAGTCATGTGCCTACAATTAAATCTTTATACGTAACACATTATTTTAGCCTGAAAAAGTTAAACACATATAATTCTTAAGACTACATTATTATAGAATTAATAAGTATTCTAAATCTGTGGGCAATCATTATGAAGCACTAATCACTTAGAGTTTCTGTTAAAGTAATAATTATTTTAATTAATATTTTTCCAATAAAGAGAAGTATATTTAGAATGTACATAGTAGCCATGTTTTAATCAAGCAATTTTATGGTGAGTTCAAAATATTTTATTTGTTTTTAATATGAAATAAATTGAATATGTGCAATGTTTTTGTCATAATCTTAACAGTGCAAATGATGTACCACCATATCCATGGCCAAGGTCACAACTGCCTCAAATTACTTATTGCAAGAAGTAGGACAAACATAAGTGAACACTTCACTTCTGCTCTCATTTCGTTGGCTACAGCAGGTCATTGGTTGTGCCTAACTAACTGCAAGCATGGTAGGCTATGGGGAGGGGAGTGAGGAAGTGCAATTCAACCATGTGTCCAGAGGAAAACCAGAATATTGGTGAACATCCCTCAGAAGAATAGTGGAAAAAACAACATTTTGTAGTTTTAAAAAAACTAATCAGAAATTATGTATTATACTTCTTTTACACTTTCAAAACAAAACGGCTCTGTGGCGCATCCTGCAAATCCCTCGCCTCTCTCAACATCTTTTTTAAAAAAAGTTCCTATTTTGGACCATTATGGGCAAGAGTAACATAATCATCTAAAACAGATACAGGTCTATACTGCTCAGTCGGCAACACCAAAAAGTCTGCTATGTTTATAGGTCTTTGCTGAATAAAGGTATTTCTTTCTACCCAAAGATGGTATGCTTTTTGCCATGTAAGCCTGAAAGCCAAATTGTTCTGTTCTGTTCTGTTCTGTTCTGTTCTGTTCTGTTCTGTTCTGTTCTGTTCTGTTCTGTTCTATTCTATTCTATTCTATTCTATTCTAGTCCTTAATCGAACAGAGGTCACTGACATTTGATAGGTGAGCTAATGAAAGGGTATGATAACTCACAAAGGAGCACGAGTGGAGAGAGTAAGATAAATTTGAAGAACAGATCACACCTTAAGGTTACAAGATAAATTGATCATTAGAGTTGCCGATTAATAGGTGACTTTTCCAGTTTTCTATAAGACCTACTGTGTATTTATGCCTTAAAAACAGTAGTGGATGATTTTTCTTTATTTATTACAGCTCGTTGTGTTCTCACATCACCATCATCACAACCTCCCTCTTCATCAACATCACCATTAATTCCATTCCTTCTTTCTTTGTTAGACTCCTTAAACTATGCCAAGGATTGTGCTTGGAACTTATCTGCTTATAGTATGTAATATTGTGTTAACGATTTAGTCTCAGGAAACCTATAAATCATATTTTTCTCTTAACCTAAAATAAAGTCTAATACACAGCCCTGGTAAGACATCTTTTTTCCGAATAAATTTTGCTTAACTGAGCTTCCTGTTCCAGATGTCAGAATTTTAATTTTAATTATCATGATATCATTTTGCTTGGTACAGGAAATTGTCAATGATACTTGAAAGAATATTACAAATTCAGCTTTTATAAAGACATGAATATTAGGGACTACTAAACCCACTCTCTATAATAAGCACTATATAATGTTAGTATATAGAATATGATAAAGTGCTAGGATGTATTCAAAACCAGAAGATAATATTCCACAACTTGGAATTTTGCTATTAATCCAAAGTCCACAATTTAGAGCACAATTACATTAAAGTTGCAAAATTAAATGAAATGTTGCTTTCTCTTGTTTCAATTTGGCTTAACTGAAACTCCCTTTGCCACATTTGTCTTCCATATATCTTTCCAAGTGAGAATTGGCCACGAATAAAATTTGTAAATGATTTTTTAAATGACAGGGGAGCAACACCCTGTTTGTCCTAGAAAGGTGAGTGTGAGTTCAGGATCTATTGCAGCTTATGCATGTTGTTGCTGAATTGCTGGTTTATCTTGTTGTTGGAGTAGCAGTCAGGCCCCAAACTCCTCTAGCTCCTGCCAGATCTCCTCTTTCAGCTTCTCCTGCAAACTGGTCCAGGTAAGTATGCAGCTTCATGATCAAGAGCACCGACTTACCCTGTAGGCACCTGCATCTGTGAAGATAAAGATAATAAAAGACATGATTCCAATTTACCATTGTTTTCCCCTTTTCGTATCCATCCGACTTTTCTACCTACCTCTTCTGCCAACCTCAGACCTGACCCTAGGAGCAGAAACAACAGCCTTCAATAGACTGTTTAACAAATACAATGCATTTGGTCAATCAATCCCTTTAACAAATGCCTTTTTAATATCATTCACTGTGGTTCTGCTTCTCTGCTTCCCTGACACATTAATGTTTAAAATAAAACAAATTACTGATAAATTCCAAACTCCTTTGTTTCTTTGGTAGAATTCCTGAGAGGATGCGTTAATTCTCTTATGCTTTTGAGGTGGGAAACACTGATAAATACATGCAAATCGAGTTGTCTGACACCCTTTTCAAAAGTCCACAGTCTATCTCCTCTTCTATCCTCTGCTGGAAGTGTCCAAAATGTAACCTTGTACTCCACTGCTAACCGCACTGAGGGATATTCCCTAGGATTCTGGCACCTCTGACCTCCTTAAATATAATGTGACTACAGTGGCCTCTGCAGAGGCAGATGCAAGAAAGTTCATACCTCTTTGACTGCCCCTAACACAAAACTATTATAAATGCAACCAGACTTCAGTGAAGACTGGGGCAAGAGGGAATTATAATATAGGGCAAAACAAATAGAAGATGAAGTTAATACTACAGTTTTCAGAAAACAAAGAATACATTATTTAAATTGCATCATCCATACATAAACCTCACATAACCTAGTTCCTGCTCTTCTTCTTTGTTTCAAAATCCATCTTTCTCTCCCTCCTTCTCATCAAAGAGAGAGTTTTTCCTCAACCTCTCCTTTTACAAATAGTTTACCTTATTTAAGACATGCTCATTTCTATCTCACAGATTTTAATCTTATTCATCCAGGAAAATACAAGGAAGGCGATAACCCATGGTGGTGCATTTGCCAAAACCTGAGGTAGTATGTCGAGAACAGCACACCAGAGTTTCAGCAAAACAAAACTGGGGCTGCCTAGTAGAAGACAGTGGAGGTGGGTTCAGCATGGCAGGTGCCCCATAGGATTAGTCTTCCAATGTCAGGTAAATATGTTTTTTAGTTCTTCCTGCAGTCTTCCAGTATCCTGAGAATAAGTTTTAGATGAGAAATGTATATATCTACATACACACACATATATGCACACATACATGTACACATACATCTCTACATACACATACATAGATATAGCATGTATATCTACATTATGGAGAAATAAATCCTAAAGGTGAAAAGAAAAATCTGTTAGATTTCTTCTAAAACTGTCTACTATCATTGCAATCTCCAAGGGATATATTTTATTTTTATTCAAGTATTTTTATATACATTTGAAATATGTTTCTGAATAATATATATAGGAACTTCAAAGTTAACTTTCAATATTTTCTAATCAATAAATTTCCTAATATTGATATGTGTGGCTAGAATTTTGTCTCAGTATCTTCCTTTAGGGTACAGATTTTACATTATGCAAGTGTCATATTTTTGTGAATGACAATTCAACTTTTATCAAGACATTTATAAATTAGTAACTTAATAATTACTAATAATTTAATAATTACTAATTTATAAATAATTTAAGTGAATTACTGGTATCTTGATATGGACTTACTAACAATTCATATGTTATCATCAATTGCATTGTAAAACAAGTGTTAATACCTCCTCTTTGCTGTGCAAATTCTTGCCACTAGATACTTCTTACCCACAAATGTGGTAACCAACCTCAGTTCAGTGCATCTTTCTCTCTTTCCAGGAAATTATGTGATCTCTCTCTTCCATGACACCACAATCCTTTTGCAATAAAGGCTCAATTCCAAGTTATAAAAGATACTGATATTTGAATATTGATGTTTCCTATGTAATGTTAGTCAATCTCTCTCTTGAAAACAGGAAAATGTAAAGAATTCTTTTTTATTTTATTTGTTTTATTTTTTGTTTTGTGGAAATGCAAATCATTGTCTTATTTTAAAAAATCTGGAAACTAAAGGTGTGAGTTACACACGTCTTCTGGTTCATGTCCTATGTAGATACTATTTGATGCAGAGTGAAGTTTCGTGAAGTTTCTCTTGTGGATATATTCCCCATATGCATCTACTATAACACCTAGTTTATATCTTTTTTATACGAGAATTTTTCCATTTCTATTGTACTGGGTATAGATGCATTTTTATACATTTACATGAAACATACTCAAATAAAATGTCCGGCATAACTAACATTTTGTGCTATAAATTGTTCCAGCAAGTTGAGTGTTCGAGTAACTATAGAGCCCAGGACTTTAGATAATGTGCACACATGTGTATTCGTGGGGCATTACTCACCTTACCATACCATTTGGGACTTTGAGAGACTACAAATATATGAAATAAACAAAAATGCTTATATAATTGTGCATTTTTGTCTGAATTACTAGTCTATCTTTTCTCTTTTATTTCTGACTCTTAGTACAGTCATGCAAAATTGACTTGAAAGTGTACAAGTTCGGACAAACTCTCAACATCATCAGCATACAGAAGAGAAGAAAGGAATCTAGAGAAAAAACAATAACAATAAAAACTCTGTCTTTACAAGACGCTATAGAGATTTTGATAATATAAGACCACTAGATTTTTAATTAGGATTCCTGATATTTCAAAGATTTCTATTGCTTTCTAAGAATCCAAAATTCACAAAAAAATATAGAGTACAAAAACAAAAGAACTTTTTTATATACACAGAAACAAATTACTTATATTTTAACTTGTAGTTTTTGAAATAAAAACACATTTGAGTACTTTAAATGCCACCTTTTTGCTTCACTCTCTGAGTGATATTTGCTTTTGGTTGACAATTGCATGACTATCCATCTCCTTTCTAAAATAATCCTAATTTTGTTCAGGTGGCAATAAGACCCAGCCCTAAAAGAGGAATACCAATTGGCCTAAACAATCATGGTCATCCCATTGCTTTCTACTTGCGGTCTGGAGTATGCATAAGATGTTCATTTGCATCATCAATTTATTAAATATTTCTTACATATGTACTTGCTATATGCCAAAAACGGTACGCAGCAGTGAACAGTGCTATTAAATATCATGAGCTCACAATATATCCAATTAAATATATTGGAGCTCGCACTCAATGAGAGGAGAAATGCAATACATAAGTAAAAGATACAGTGTTTCAGATGATAATAAATGCTGTGGAAAAAGGTCATGAAAGGAAGGGGAAGAGAGATGGAAGGGGGCTGAGACAAGACTTAATGTAAGAGCATGACTAGTGTGTGTTAGGAATTAAAAGTGAACGTAGGAAGACCTGAATAAATGAGGATGAGTAGATGAAAATAGAGATGAATAATAACAGGTGCTAGGTTGTGTAGAGATTTTGGCAATTTATCTAAGCAATACAGAAACCCATTGGACGATATTGGCAGAGAAGTAATATAATTTGACTCCAATTTTAACATTCCCTTTTGTGCTGGAGATGTAAATAGACTCAAGTCAAGGCAGAGATGGGTGAAGGAAGACACATGTTGAGGTCATTTCAATCATCTGTTTTAGAGAACTGGGTACTTTGGATTGGGCATTAGTTGAGTGGTGAGAAATATTCTTGAAGGAAAAGCTGACATTACATGTTTCTGGATTAGATGAGTATTGTGAAAGAAATAAATGAGTCAGAAACGATTCTAAAACCTTCAACTTGGTCAACTAGAACTAAGAAGTGGACTTTACTGAGATGAGAAAGTTTGTAAGGATCAGAACAACATATTTTCGGTTTGGGTTATATTTCACTCGAGATGCTTGACTGCCAACTAGACATCAATAAAGAAACATTGCAAAGGCCATCAGACATACAAGTCTGAATGTCAGACAAAAGGCCTTGGTTACCCGTACAAATTTGGAAGTCATTAATGTATGAATGATATAAAAAGCCATGAGAAAGGATAAGATCACTAAAGAAACAAGTCTTGATAGTGTAGAAAGTTGGTAAAAGAACTGAGCCTTGAAGATCTCCAAAAGTCATATATCAGTAGGAGAAAGAGCCAGAAAATGATTTTGGAAAGCAATTGATACAGAAGATTATGATGTCCACACAGCCAAAGGAAATGAAATAATGTCTTCAAGGTATTATTTCAAGAAACTGGGGGCCAACTTGATCAAATGCTGCAGAAAGTGGACATAAAATGAGACCTGATAATCAGCCATTGGATTTAGAAAATTGGCTATCCCTGATGACCTCACGGAAGGTTTTTGGGGGAAGTGATAAGGAGAAAGCTTGATTGAAAGGGATTTCTAACAAAGTAGTGGGATTGAATGCAGTAAGTATAGGAAACAATTTCAAGATGCTTCACTCAAAAAAGGAATGGAGAAAAGGTAAATAGTTACAGAGGAAGTAGAGTCAAGATAGTTGTGCTTAATGTTTTCTAAGATGGAAAAAAAATAATAACATGTTTGCATGCCAATGGAAATGGTCCAAAGAAAGGGCAAAATTAATAATGTAGGAAATACAAAGAAGTATTTCTGGAATAATGTTCTCGGATAGGAAATTAGGAAAAAGAAATATTGGCTTTAGATGATAGACCATTCTGTTCATCCACAGTGACTGGCATATGAGTATATGAGCACAAATGCAAATGGATGAACAGACGTGTTCAGGCCAACTCTTAATATTGTTTTCATAAAATAAAGGCAAGATAGTACTTTTTCACCATTTAAAAATGTACAATAGTTCACAATGTCATGTAGAATTAGTGGAATTGTGGAAATACTCAATGATTAAAATAATATTTATTGAAGTCATGCTTTCTGCCACATATTTTTCTAGACACTGGAGGTAAACTGGAAACAATGTTCCTACCTTTGCAAAAGTAGGAATAAACCCAAATATATCACAGGACACCTAGCAAAGCCAGCTTTCATAGGGAAATCAGGAGTAAGGTTCAGAGAGAGCAGACCCCTGGTCCACCAGTCTCAACATCTACAGAACCGGGGTTAGGGGAAGCGGGTGGTTTGAGGCCTTCTAGTGACTAACTTAAACATGTCATTCCAGATTCAACTTTCACTCTGTCTTTGTACACATACATAGCTTCAGTGACAGCAAATCTAACCACCTCAGACAAAACTACACCAACATTCCCAAGTGTACAGGTCTCTTTTTTTTTCATACTCTCTCCTCAGCCTCAAATACGCTTTTCCCCTTTTCATAGATTACCAATATTTTAAGACCCATAACAAATAGCACCTTTCCAGCACCATATTTTCAAATAAAATGTATTATCTTAAGATTTACAATATGTTACTAATTGTACACAATATTTATTTATTCCAAATTGAAATCATTGATTCCATCAACATTTTCGGCACTAAATATTGAGCAGGCACTGGGCTAGGTACTGATGTTACACACAGAAAAGACAGTCTCTCCCCTCATTAAGCATTTTTGATGTGCATTTTCTCACAAGCTCATTAACACCTCATTCATCTTTGCATTCCTCAGTGAACATCCCAGAGCATCTTAAGCATGTAAAGTGTTGAACCATATCTCGGTGTCTACAGATGGAAAAGAGGATCCTAAAAGATATTAAGTGCTATGTGCTAGGCCTTGTGTAAGTAAGTGCTTTTATATAATATACTATTCACATCAAATAATTAGAACAATTTAGTATAACTAGCTTTCTGCTATGAAAATGGTGAGCATTTAGAAAGCAGCCATGAAGAATCAGGCTGAAAAATGCAATTTGTGGAGAGATGTGGAAAATCTTTGAAAAATAGGACTCTAGATTAAACTGAAAAATTTTGGAATAATGTGGCTGAATAAGCTACCTTGCTAAACAATTCTTTATCTACTCTGTGTCTCAGTGGACAATGCAATCCCTTTTCTGTACACTAACTTATTTGTTAGTGTACCTTATATAGATGCAGAATAAGTTCTTAAAAAAGTTTATAAACCTTATATTTTAAAGGGATAACAGTTATTGCGTCCATTTTCAACATACTTATTCCACAAAAACAAAGATATAATTAGATAATTATATCTTATATTTATAATACTTTATTCTGGCTTACTACTGGGTCAAATTGCAGATACTTTTCATAATACAATGCTCAAATAAACTTCATGTATAATCTTATTAGTGTGCTGTTTTGAAAATGGTATTAAATCTTTAGAAGGAAGGTCAAAATTCAAATACAAGTCATTACTGATTATTGCACTTGAATAGCTAAATTAATATGCTGCAGGCATTACAACCTAAATCATAACCCAATTGAACTGATTATAAAGAGGCACTGATAAATGAGCTGTTTTAATAAGCATTTATTTATGAATTTGTTATCAGAGTTTCTTCCATTAAAGTAAAATAATTAGAATGCTGAATCAGATCAAGATGACAGAGCTTCCAAGCAACATCTTTTCCTTTAGAAGAGAACACGAGAGTGTTTGGAAGAAAGTCAGGCAATGTTCTTTAATGAACACAAATTCCCTTTCGAATTATTCCATTGCTCAAAGAAAGACAGTTATTTAATAAAAAGGCTTAGCTATAAACATCAGTCACAGTTTCATTCCTTATATGCAAAAAGGCAGTGAACAGGAGCTATATTTCTACTTTGACATTTAGGACTTTTTGTCTTGAAGTAGAGGCTATAAAGTTGAGAGGGTCATTTTGTTGTAAGCACCCAAGTGAAAACCATTATTTGATTACTATTTGTTAATGAGTTATATTAGAAGCTAAGCCAAAGACTGAAAAGGGAAATTCATAAAACCACTCAATTCCTGGGATCTTTGAGGTCACCAGGACTCTGAGCCTCAAAGCTGTCCTACGGATGTGTACATGCAGATTTCCCTGTCACGCCCAGCTGCCACAATGACAGACGCTGTGGAGATACACAGATGGCACTTCAATCTCACCATGATCTCTAGTTATCCTTCATCTATTTTCCTCCTCTAACTCATGATCCAGAACTCAGATCAACATGCTTTGCAGCTCATCGATGTTTTTGCAATTTGTATAAAAATGTTAATATTTGACCAGTATTCTATTAGAAAATAATTATTTGCTCTCCTTTCAAAAGAGGAAAATGTCATCCAGTTTTTGAAATATTTCTACAGTTTAATATTTTGATATACCAAGGGTCTCTAATAAAGTTGACTCACACCATAAAGGCTGACATTTCAGTGTCATTGACTTACTACAAAATTATATATATTAAATTTCTTCTCTCTTTTTTTTTTTTTTTTGAGATGGAGTCTCATTCTGTCACCCAGGCTGGAGTGCACTGGCTTGATCTCGGCTAATCGCAACCTCTGCCTCCTGGGTTCAAGCAATTCTCCTGCCTCAGTCTCCTGAGTAGCTGGGACTACAGGCATATGTTACTACGCCCTGCTAAATTTTGTATTTTTAGTAGAGATGGGGTTTTGTTATATTGGACAGGCTGGTCTCAAATTTCCGACCTCAAGTGATGTGCCCACCTCAGCCTCCCAGAATGCTGGAATTACAGGCTTGAGCCACTGTGCCCAACCTAAAGTTCTAAAAAATATATATTAGAGAATATTATATGTAGCACATATATATCTATTATATTCATATGTATATATATATTATATATATACATATTATAGATATACATGTTATAGATATACATATATATGTATATCTATTATATATACAAATATATGTATATCTATTATATATACACATATATGTATATCTATTATATATACATATATGTATATCTATTATATATACATATATGTATATATAATAGATATACATATATGTGTATATATATTATATATACACATATATGTATATATTATTATATATATATAGTTTAAGTTCATATACATTCTGTTGGTTACTTGCTATTTGGTTTTTCACGTGTCTATCGGAAGAAAAATTTAATTTGGAGGATACACTCACTAAGATTACCTTTCATTAGAGGAGAAATTTCAAGATTTGTGACTCCTATAGCAATAGTTACATATTAAATCTTTCAAATCTATTTAAATTTCTTTCTTAAGCAGAGAGTGGGGAGAGTGGAAAATATATGTATTGTATTAGGTAGTTTATTTTAAAAGATGAGGTTTACTTTGCTCCCAGTTCTGCGGGCTGTACAGAAAACATATATATGTATGTATTATAATATATACATATATATACATGTATATAGACACATGTATATACTTGTGTCTATATACATGTATATATACATAGGTACATGTATATACATGTATATATTATAATACATATATGTGTGTGTGTGTGTGTGTGTATAGACAGATAGATAGATAGATAGATAGATAGATGGGGATATATAAAAAAACGAGATTTGGATGTGTGTCCCCACCCACATCTTATGTTCAGTTGTAATCCACAATGTTGGAAGTGGGGCCTGGGGGGTGTGATTGGATCATAAAGGTAGATTTCTCCTGAATGACTTAGCACCATCCCCTTGAAGCTGTCCTCGCAATAATGAGTAAGTTCTCGTGAGATCTTGTTGTTTAAAAGTGTGATACCTCCCCTGCTGTTTCTCTCTTGCTCTTGCTCCAGCCATGTGAGAAGTCTTGCACCCCCTTTGCCTTCTGCCATGATTGGAAGCATCCTGAAGTCTCCCCAGAAGCAGAAGCCACTATGCTTTCTGTACAGCCTGCAGAACTGGGAGCAAAGTAAACCTCATCTTTTAAAATAAACTACCTAATACAATACATATATTTTCCACTCTCCCCACACTCTGCTTAAGAAAGAAATTTAAATAGATTTGAAGGATTTAATATGTAACTATTGCTATAGGAGTCACAAATCTTGAAATTTCTCCTCTAATGAAAGGTAATCTTAGTGAGTGTATCCTCCAAATTAAATTTTTCTTCCGATAGACACGTGAAAAACCAAATAGCAAGTAACCAACAGAATGTATATGAACTTAAACTATTTTATTCATTTCATGTTAAGATTCAATTTTTTAATTCAGTTGTCATTTTTTTGTACTTTGCAATTTGTGTCACATGATCAATTCCCCAAATGACACCGGTAAACATGAACGTCAGAGGAGGAAGAGGAGGAAGATGGGTGAATAGAACTCTTCACCAATCATCCTACACGTAGGAACACCAAATTTAACAGCTATCCACACAAAAAAAGCACCTTCATGAGAACCAAAAATCAGATGAGCACTCACAGTACCTGGTTTTAACTTCATATCACTGAAAGAGGCACTGAAGAGTGTAGGAGAGACAGTCTAGAAATGCCTACAGCACTCCTCCCCCATGCCCTGGCAGTAGCCACGTCGCACAGGGAGGGAATCTGTGTGCTTGGGGGAGGGAGAGCATAGTGATTGTGGGACTTTGCATTAGAACTCACTGCTTCCCTGTCACAGTGGAAAGCAACATGGGACAGAACTCAGATGATACCCATGGAGAAAGCATTTAGATGAGCCCTCACCAGTGGGGAATTGCCCAACCCAGTGGTTAGAACCTGAGCTCCAGTAAGCCTCGTCAGTGTGGGCTAAAGTGCTCTGGTGTTCTGAGTAAATCTGAAAGGCAGTCTAGGCCACAGGGACTGCAATTCCTTGGCAAGTCCTCGTGCTGCACTGGGTTTGAAGCCAGTGGACTTAGGGCACACACAACCTAGTGAGATACCAGCTGGAGTGACCAAGAGAATGCTTGTGCCACCACTCCCCCAACCCCAGGCAGCGCATCTCACACCCCTGAGAGAGACTGCTTCTTTCTGTTTGATGAGCGGAGAAGGGAGAGTAAAGAGAACTTTGTCTTGCAACTTGGATATCAGTTCAGCCATAGTAGGATAGGGCATGAGGCAGAGTCCTGAAGGAGGCCCCCAATCCAGGCCCTAGATCCCGGATGACATTATTAGATACGCCCTGGGCCAGAAGGGAAACTGGTGCCTTAAAGGGAGGGATCTAGTCTTGGCAGGATTTATCACCTGCTGACTAAAGAGCCCTTGGGCCCTGAATAACCAGCAGCAGTACCAAGGCAGTACTTGTCATGAGCCTTGGGTGAGACTAAGAGATGTGACGGCTTCAGGTATGACCGAGAAGATTCCTGGCTGTGGTGGCTATGGGAAAACACTCCCTTTGCCTGAGAAAAAAAATAAAGGGGACTTTGTTTTACAGCTTAAGTACCAGCTTGGCCACAGTGGGGTAGGGCACCAAGCAGGCGCTTGGGATCCCTGATTCCAGGCCATGGCTCTTGAATGGCATTTCTGAACCTGTCCTGGGCCAGAGGGGAGCCCACTGCCCTGAAGGGTGAGACCAGGACCTGGGAGCATGCACCATGAGTTCACTGAAGGGTCTGACTGAAGGGTCCATGGGCCTTGATTGAACATCAGAGGTAGCCAGGCAGTTCTTGCCATTGGCCTGGGAAGCTAGTGGCATGAGGAGGAGACGCCTCTGCTTGTGGAAAAGACAGGGACTATTGGGAAGGACTTTGGCTTGTGGCTTGGTTGCCAGCTGAGCTGCAGTAGAATACAGCACCAGGTGAATTCTTGAGGTTTCTGACTCCAGGCCCTGACTCCTGGAGGGTATCTCTGGATGAATGCAGGATCAAGGGAATTCAACACCCTAAAAGGAAGAACACAAGCTTTTCTGGCTTTGCCACCTGCCAATTATAGAGCCCTAGGGCCTGGAGCAAATGTAGGCAGTAACCAGGCAGTGACTACTTGGTGAGATCCTGTGCTGTGCTGGCTTCAAGTCTTACCCAGTGTAGAACCAGTGATGATGGCCACAGGGGTACTTTTGTCACCCAGCTCCCGGTTCCAGGCAGCTCAGCATAGAAAGAGAAACTCCATGTGTTGGGAGAAAGTAAGGGAAGAGGAAAAGATTCTCTGCCAGGTCATCCAGAGAATTCTTCTGGAACTTATCCAAGACCACTGATGTATTACCTCTGCGAGTCAGCAAAAGCCACAGTGTTACTGGACAGATATGGCTATGGATTCAGTGACCAAAAACTTAGGTCACAGCACCCAAGTTCTCTCAAATACCTGGAAGGACTTCCCAAGAAGGACAGGTACAAACAAGTCCACTCTGTGAACACTATAATAAATACCTAACTCTCCAATGCTCAGACACTGATGAACATCCACAATCATCAGGATCATCCAGGAAAAAATCAACCTCACCAGATGAACTAAATAAGGTATCAGGGACCAATCCTGGAGAGACAGAAATATGGAACCTTTCAGACAGATAATTCAAAATAGCTGTTTTGAGGAAACCCAGTGAAATTAAAGAAAACACAGAGAAAACATTTAGAATCCTATCAGGTAAATTTAATGAAGAGATTGACATAATTTAAAAGAATCAAATAGAAATTCTGGAGCTGAAAAATGCAATTGACATACTGAAGAATGCATTAGAGTTTCTTAATACCAGACTCGATCAAGCAGAATAAGGAATTAGAGAGCTTGAAGACAGGCCATTTGAAAATACATAGAGGAGACAAAAGAAAAAAGAATAAAGCATACCTACAAGTAGTAAAAAATAGCTTCAAAGGGTAAATCTAAGAGTTATTGGCCTTAAAGAGGAAATAGAGAGATTGGGGTAGAAAGTTTATTCAAAGGGATAATAACAGAAAACTTCTCAAACCTAGAGAAAGTTATCCATATTCAAGTACAAGAAGGTTACAGAACACCAAGCAGGTTTAACCCAAATAAGACTACCTCAAGGCATTTAATAAACTCCCAAAGTTCAAGGATAAAGAAATGATCCTAAAGACAGCAAGAGAAAATAAATAAATAACATATCATGAAGTTCCAGTGTTCCTGGAAGCAGACTTTTCAGTGGAAACCTTACAGGACAGGAGAGAGTGGCATGTCATATTTAAAGTGCTGAAGGAAAAAACTATTATCTTAGAATGGTATGTCCAGCAAAAATATCCTTCAAACATACAGGAGAAATAAAGACTTTCCCAGACAAACAAAATCTTGAGATTTCATTAATACCAGACCAGTCCTATAAGAAATGCTTACAGGGAGTTTTTTAATCTGAAAGAAAAGGATATTAATGAGTAGTAAGAAACCAGCTGAAGATACAAAACTCACTGGTAATAGTAAGTACACAGAAAAACTCAGAATATTATAATGCTGTAACTGTAGTGTGTTAGCTACTCTTATCTTGAGTAGAAAGACTAAAAGATGAACCGATCAAAAATAATAACTACAATTACTTTTCAAGACATAGACAGTGCAATAAGACATAAATCGAAATAAGAAAAAGTTTAAAAGTGGGGGCATGAAGTTAAAGTGTAGAGTTTTTATTTATTTTCTTTTTAGTTGTGTGTTTGTTTAGGCAATCAGTGTTACACTGTCATAATTTTAAAATAATGGGTTATAAGACACTATTTACAAACATGATCTTTAACTTGACATACTGATCCTGCATTTTTAAAGTAAACTATAAAACTGGAACCTATGATAATGAATTTTTATAATGAGTAGGACTTGGTTTTAATAACAAGAATAAGACTTCTTACAAGTGATGTAATGGAAAAGTTACAGGAGTTGACGATGTTTTTGCAAAGAAATTGACTAAGTGGGAAAGGGGAATTCAATGAGAGGCGGTGGTAAAAAGTTACTAGAAAAAAACCATTTCCTCTTTTTATCCCAATGAGTTGGAATTTTTAAGTAAACTGTTTATAATTATATAAAATAAGACTAGTTTCTCACCAGTTTGCTTAATATCATAGCCAGTAGGAATTTTGGGTCAGCTTATGTTCAGCAAATGGCGAAGAGGGAAGGTCCCCAAACCTCTAGAAATAAATACAGGAAATAAAATATCTATTGATTTGTGTCACATTACTAATGAATACACTGTGTGTTTCATTAGGAGTGAGTATGGCAAATTTGGTATACAGTTCTTTTCCTGTATCATTAAAGGTGAGTAAGAGTTCTTTGCTATATAGCTAAAACCTAAGCATATTTCTCTTTCACGTTGAATCTTAGAATAGCAATCTCTTTGGAGACTGGTTGTCTGAAATTCTCTCTTGCATGACCATTCAGGCTTAACCATAATCCAGCTAAAGCTGAGTCATTGATTGACACTAGGCACTGGGGCAGACAGATGAATTTCTTGGGTTTAAAGTTTAATGGAACAGATCTTTTGATCTCTGATTCTGTAAGGAATCTGAAGTTCATATTTTCTCTCAGATTTCTTTGGTACTAGTACATTGTCACATATAGATCTCATTTTCATGAGGAGAATGTAATGTAGTGAGGTCAACATTGCTCAATGAATTCAGGGATTTAAATTTGTGCTTCATGGAAGGTTAACGTGATCGCTATCCTTTCAGAAGTGCTTAATCTAGCCAATGCAAACGTGATATGGGTTCTTTGAAGATACAAAGTTGGGCATGATATTTTATATAAATATAAGTGAGACAATAATCTTATAATTCATCATGTACTCTCCTATTTCTAAAATGAGCACAAAATCATTTTTAATGTGAACATCAGAGCCTGAAACTATTTTTTGTTTCTTATAGTCCAGGATTTTTCCTTTTATCTCCTACTACAAGCCCCTACAATATCTGAATCAGTGGAGGGAGAGAAAATACAGCAAGTCATATTCCCCACAGTACAGCTCACATGATAGTGCCAGCCAACTCTCAAAGATGCGACCTCAAGACTGGTATAATCTAGCTGGAATTTCTCTGATTCCGCATGCTTATTGAAGTCTCATCCTGACCAGCCTAGAATTATTGACACACATGCACGCGCACACACACACACACACACACACACACACACACACAGATTTTTTGTTTTTTCCTGAGGCAAGTCAGATTGTTGTGCTCTTTGCAATAACACAGCATCCACTCCAGTTCAAAACTACTTAATCAAAGTGGAAGACTTGATGGTGTAGAAATATGAACAGCCAGTATTTCACTGTATTTTATTCTGTGTAGAATATTGTTATAAAGCTCTATTCTTCCAAGTCTCTGCCAGCAAATCAAGAAATAAGATATATTTGGTCACTTTTGAAACTTCAATCACATTTGAAAACAATTTTTGATATAAAACTTAATAAAATTGGCATGAGAAAACATAGTATAAAATTTCAAAACACCCATTTCTCTCTGGGCATCATCTATGAACTTCCTCTTCTTAAAACTTGTTGTATTCTTTGAGCAAAAGTGATCAAGTATTTGTTCTAACAGAGCTTTTGGGAGAGTGCAAACTGCTGATAAGGCCAATAAAGCTGAGCTTTTAACCTTTTTGCATTTCAATTGCATAATCAAAAGCTGATGGTGGCACATCACACACTCAGAGATCGCCATGGGCATTGCACAGAAAATGAAAATTAGTTCTAAAAGCCTTTTCATTCTTTGTGGCGTTGGATGCTCCTTTCCTGGCTGTATATGAAAGAGGATCAAACACAAAATGGAAAAAATATTATGACCGCGGGTGAAAGCAAAACCCAGAGAAAACTGGGAGCATTGGGGGTTGAAATAGAAGAGGAAGCCGCTGTAATTAGCTCCAATGTTGCATGAGAATAAAATACAATGCCACTTTAAAAAATATAAACAGGCCGAATGCCAACTGAGATAGTGACTACTGCTGTAACAAACCTTGGTAAATAGTGAGCAATACTAAAGTAAATAGCACTTGTGGATAAAAGTTTGACATCAATTCCGTTGGCTACATTTTTCATAAATTATCATCTATAATAAAAGTCATTCTGCTATATTACTTTTTAGGTAAGATAACATTTAATACCAAAGATGATTTTAAATAAAGGCAGAATATCATCACACATCCTCCCTAAACAGACACATAAGGCAATTTTAATTACTGTGTGTTTGGGGAAGAGTGAAATTTCCTACATTTCCAGACATTTTCATTTTAAGAAAAACAGTGAAAGGGTCATAGGGATAGTGAAAGGGAAGCCTTCTCCCCAGTGCTTAGCATTGATTTCTGCCCTGCTTACAGCCTGATTTCCTTATTCGATTAAACAATATGACTCTGCAAAAGTGTTAAATTAAATCAAAACTTGCCTATGCATTTTTATATGTACACACTTCAGGTTGTAACTCTTCCAACATGAAACCATGCATTATTATAGATGATTTCACATTTTATTTGCTCATTTCACTGAGTTTAGGTGAAAAGATGCTCAAATCATGTCAGTAGTAGGCACATGCACACATATACTGTGTTAATAAGGCCCTTAACACATTTAAGGCAACCAATTCCTTAAAATATCATAACTTGGTCTTCTTCCAGACCTGTTTAAGACAGACACTTGGAGAACGATATCTTGGAACTACCACTTTATTATCTCAGTTTTATTTCTTTTTTACCCATGGAGTCTGCAAAGCTGTTAAGTTTTTGCAGAAAGCACTATTCCTATCATGTAAAAACAACATGAATAGTGTCTCATACTTTCTAAGGATTGTGTTCTATAGTGAGAGCAAGACTAGGGAGTGACTTTTTCAATTCTCCAATGACATTTTGCCATCTTCTTAAATCATAAAATTAATCTGTAGTTATGAATGTGTCTGACTCAAAGGTAGAACACTGGTACATGAGTGAAGAGAAGGCCTCTTTTTTGAAGTTGGGAAACTATGAATCTCCAGCTATTCCCACCCTTCATTTTTCTTCTTTAACTTATCAGCAACTGATACATATATTAGTTAATTAACAGTTTCCTCCCACTAGAATGTAAGGATCATGAGAGAAGGAACTTGTTTTTCCCACTACTATATTCCCAACACCTAGAACTCATTAGAGGTGTTCCAAAAATATGTTGTGAATAAGTGAATGGAGAAGAATCAAAAACTGATAACCTGACATGCCTTCCTTATATTGGTACTCCCACGAATTTTTCACTTTTTGAAACCCGCACTTTAAAAATCCACTAGGTACCTTACAAATGTTATTAGAATGGCTGCTTACCAGTCTTTATTCTTTTCCATCTCTCTGTTTTACCTTATGTAACAATGGACTTTCTTTTTAAAATTTTATTCCACTTAGTCATATTCTATCACCCTTTGTCCCCTTTCAACTATCTGAAAACTCATTCCCGCATCCTTTACCGGATTCATGATAGGACTAATTGTGGATGTACCCTGAGCAGGGATTTGGCTATATCACCCTTCTCATCCTGGATAATCTCCATATGAATCCTGTTCATCTTCTTGGCTTCCACGTTCACAGTTGTATTAATGTTTCAATTCTTAGCTTAATCTTAAACTTTAAACAGTGTTTAAAGTCTTAGCTCTAATGACTCAGCTCTAAAATTCTTTTTCCTATAAGAACCAACATGCTGGGAATTTCTCCTTGTATAACTCATTCCATTTTTTCTCCCTAGAACTACATATTTTTATTCGTGGACCTATTTTCTTCTTATTGTTCCTAAGGCCTACAGATTCTAATCACTTACTAAATTCTATTCATTTTTTGTACAAAGAGATCTAACTAATTTCTTGCCCCCATTTCTCTTGCCTTGAGATGTGATGCCTGGGCACTTATAACAGCATCTTTCTAGACTTTTTGCTTTGTTGCTGTTCTCTGTATTCTTTCTAGAACTATTAAAGCACTGTTTCAATCATAAAACTCCTTTACTGATTATAACAAAAGACAATTTTTATGATAATTAGAATCTACATTCTTGGCACAGGTTTCAGTGCCCATTACAAAGAGGGTCCCAACCCCCCTTAACAGTTTTTCCCATAACTGTCTTTCATGAAATGTCATCTGTAGACTACCCAGTCTACTTAACTGTGTTTTTCTATCTACGTATTTACTAATAATAGTACACCTCTATGAAAAAGTATTCCACAAATTTACATCTATTCAAATCTTACCTATTTTTCAGGAGCAAGCTCAAATATAATTGCCTTTATGACCTCTGGTAAAAGCCCCCTGACTAACTGTGCTGGAAATGCTATGGTTTCTAGATACTCTAGCATGATTTTATCACTCATTCATGGCCTATATTTTACTACTTGGAATGCGCACCATCTTTTCTTGAATGTTTCCCTCCTGTCTCCTACCAGATTAAAATTTCTTAAGAGTAGATCCTGTTACTTCTCATCTATTTAGTTCCTTCAGTGCTTTGCACATAATATGTACGTATTCAATTAACATGGGTTATTATAAGTAAGTTGCAATAAAAGGTCCATCTATTATCATGTTTAATTCAATGGCAGAACATGAATTTCAGCTGTTCCCTTGTTATTTAGGCATAAAAATGAGTTGTATACACTTACATAGAAAATCAAGACTAAAACCTGTATGACATTTAATCCAAAGGGAAAATTACACAACACAACTCTAATTCTTTTGACATATGTATCATCAGATGATTCCTGTTCCAGTTCTCTGTTCTCTGACAATTTTTAAAAGTCAGATTTTTGAGCGGTTGCTCAAAAAGTTATATTTAGGCCCTTCAATTTTGTAACATTCCCAATGGAAGTGTACTATTATTAACTTCTAGGATTTCTAAAATCCTCCACGTACTTAATTTTTTTCTAAATTCATTGCTCTTTGAATTTCCTGATATAATTTCATGGCATTTACAGCACATGAAAAGTGTATCATCATCCCCTATAAATCATCTATGCTGGAGCACATGTTCCCAGTACATGTAGAAGCATCTAGGAGCAAGGGAGATGGTCTTTAAGGTGATGACTTCAAGGCCTCTCTCAACCCCAAGCAGAAACTTCAATTATGACTCAAGCTGCAAGATTGGATTTCATTTACATGTTCTGCTGTCAGGGCTGAATTTCCAATATATTTAGCTCAGTGGAATTTTTCTCCATTAGCATGAGATATCTAAAAGATCTAGTTTTCCTTCTATAAATAGGAAGGTGCTTGCTATACACCATCTCTCATGAAAATACTACCTACAAAGATGGAAGGGTCATAGAATTTTATCTAGTGCAACCTTGTGCAAATAAGTGCCTGCCACAAGACACTAAATTACTGATTTGAGGCAGAGGAGTTAACAAACTTCAGGAGGCTGTAGTGCATAAAATATCCTGAAATCTACAAAAAATTCTTACTATATTATTATGCAAATAAATTTTTCAAATATAATGCCTGAAATTTTACTAATATTCTGACTTGCATGTGTAAATGGGACATTTGGAAAAAATAGTTTTCTTTTTTAACTTATTTTTTATTAAATTTATTTTATAATTGAGAAAAATTTTGTATATTTATTGTGCACAACATGTTTTGACATATGCATACATTGTGGAATGGCTAAAAAAGCTAATTAACATATGCAATGACTCACGTACTTATTTATTTGTGGTGAGGATGTGTAAATTCTACTGTCTTTACAATTTTAAAGTATATAATACACTGTTATTAACTATGGTCACTGTATTGTACAATAGATCTCTTGAACTTATTTCTCCTTTCTAACTGAGATTTTATATCCTTGGACTGATATTTCCCCAAGCCTCCTCTGTCATTTTTAAGATTCAATAAACAAGTGTTTACTTAGTTGTTACTACTCACCCCTCTATTTACTCTCTCCCTTTTTAACCAACCCCTGTTTTGCATTACAAGTTCATTGTGTACAGGTATTTGTTGGTGTCTAATTGTCTGAGTCCTCATATTCTTTTACTTTGTTTCAAAATATTTATTTGTGTTTTGTTCACTAGATGACAAATATCTGAAGATTTGCAACTGCATCTATTTGTCTTTGAATCTCAGCACTTAGGGACATTTAGAACATGGTTGGTGGTAAGTATCAGTTTTCTAAACTGAACTGAATAGGTGTTGGAGAGAAAAAGAGCAACCCTGTCCCAAAACTTCCTGAAAATCTGTATTCTACAGTTCGCTCCTGACTTATAAGCAAGTCTTTGATTCAGCAAGTCTGTGATCTGCCTTTAATTCTACCTCTTCTGTCAACTCCAGCTGCTTACTATCTTCCCACAGTTATCTGTGAAGATAATAGCTCATGCCTCCAAAGTACACTGCTAATGGAAAAAAGAATGGTTGGGCTTCTCACCTCTTTTCCTTAAAGCCTCTACTTACTTCACTCTATATACACTTCTCTAATACCTTAGAATAAAAATAAATCCTTTCATCATTACCAAACTAAGGCTGTCAAGTCCTTTCCCAGACTCTTTTATAATAAGTATTGACCCATATCAAAGCATGCATGATATACAGGTACAAAGAAATCTCATGATTTGGAAGAAAAATGAGAACATTTTACATAAAGCCTATGTTTACTAATATTATTTTAATTGACAAATCACAGTTACATTCAATTATGGCACAGAATGTGATGTTTTGATATATCTATACAATGTGGAATGATTAAAGCTAATTAGCATATCCATCACCACACTTAACACTTTTTTATGGGGAGATTTTAAAATTTACTCTCTGAGTTATTTTGAAATATACAATACATTATTATTGACTATAGTCACTGTGCTGTGTAATAAAGCTCAAAACTTATTCTTCCTTTTTCTCTGCACCTTTGTACCCTTTGACCAACAACTCTCCAATATGTACTCTACTCTGTGCCACACTTATTGTGTATAATGTGGGTAAACCACAGTCTACACACAACATGAGGATAGATAATTATATTTCAACAAGGGGATTTCAAAAACATATATAGACTTTCTACATAAAGATAATGCATTTAAGAGGAATATTTTATAATGTTTAAACAGTCAATTCAACAGGAAGAGAGTATGTTATAAATTTGTATAAATTTAATCACACCAGCTAAAAATACATAAAGCAAAAAATTGACAGAAAGAATATTAATGATACATCTAAATACTTATTTAGAAATGTTAATATACTTCTCTCTATCGATAGGACAAATAGAAATAAACAGGAAAATATAGATTTGAACAGCACAATTAGAAATAATCAAATGATAACTTGAAAAACCACAAATACTATGCAGCCATAAAAAATGATGAGTTCATGTCCTTTGTAAGGACGTGGATGAAGCTGGAAACCATCATTCTCAGCAAACTATCGCAAGGACAAAAAACCAAACACCGCGTGTTCTCACTCATGGGTGGGAACTGAACAATGAGAACACCTGGACACAGGAAGGGGAACATTACACACTGGGGCCTGTTGTGGGGTGGGGGAAGGGGGAGGGAAAGCATTAGGAGATATACCTAATGTAAATGATGAGTTAATGTGTGCAGCACACCAACATGGCACATTATACATATGTAACAAACCTGCACGTTGTGCACATGTACCCTAGAACTTAAAGTATAATTTAAAAAAAAAAAGCAATGTAGTTATATAGGGAATTTTAAAAATTCTGATATTGGGTCTCTCTCCCTCTCCCCCCCCCACCCCCACACACACACACATACAAAGACACAGCAAAAAATAAAAAGCAAACATAATTGTAATTTATACGTTGTTATTATTTAAAATCTGTATTTGAAAAATATTAAGACATAAAAGACATATTTGGACTTATATATTGCCAAATAATTTATATTGAAACGCATAAAATATCTACAAATAGAGCAAGGAGGATTTTATTTTTATTTGAATATTAGTATGAATAATATTCTATATCACCGAAATTTTTAAACGGATTTTTATAGTAGTTGTCTTCTGAATAAGTTGTATAAAATCTTTTTAAAATATTCGATATTTACTTTAGAAAACAATGGGACAATGGGTTTCTAACACTCCTCTATTTTAGCCTACAAATAATGTGCTCATTTCACCAATTCTCTCATCATTTAGTGATAAAAACTAAATACCATACTGTTTTGGATATTCTCCTTTTTTGCCTCTTTTATTCAATTTTAACTATTTGCATAGACTTTTATGTCTTTGAAATTCTAGCTAAGTTAAACTAATATTTATACCAATTTAAAATTTGTTCATCACTGTAATATTATGTTACAAAGTTCTTAGAAATTTCTAATTTCTCCTCTAGTATTGTTTTCAGTTTTACTTAAGATCTATAGACTCACCTAAATTAATAGAAATGGAAACATAATACTTAAAGAAAATGAATTAATACAATTTCAAATTTAATAATTTATGAAACAGGGAAATTACTATTGTCGTATGAGATAAAATATTATTTGTAGTTAATTTTAAGAGTAGAATTCCTATTTAGATATTAGTTTCCCCTGATTTTCCCTAAATACCCATAAGTGACACAACATCGGTGTATGTATGATAACGAAAACTCAATTTATCTCCAATATACATTACATAAATTCAGAGCAAACAAGAAATCATAGAAAGTTTATAGGTACAGGCCGGGCGCAGTGGCTCATGCCTGTAATCCCAGCACTTTGGGATGCCAAGGTGAGTGGATAAGCTGAGGTTGGGAGTTCAAGACCAGCCTGGTCAACATGGTGAAACACCGTCTCTACAAAAATACAAAAAAATTAGCCGAGCATGATGGCAGGTGCCTGTAGTCACAGCTACTGGGGAGGCTGAGGCAGGAGAATTGCTTGAACCCGGGAGGCGGAGGTTGCAGTGAGCTGAGATTGCACCATTGCACTCCAGCCTGGGCAACAGAGCAAGACTCCATCTCAAAAAAAAAAAGAAAAAAGAAAAGAAAAGAAAGTTTATAGGTACAAATGTGGAATCAACACAATATTCAGGCTATCAAGAAATGTCTTGATCCAGAAGACGCCTTAGTGTGTCATTGGCTGAAAGGAGTTGGGTGTATGTGGTACTTTTATACTTCTTGATTACCCAGATATAAATGTACAGAGCCAAAAATTCAATGAGGATAAAGAAAAGTATCAGTGGAATACTAATCCAGACAGGCATCGTCTTACAACTGGTGTGTTGCAATCTTCCTCCTGCCATAAAACTGGTACTTTTAGCCTCTTTCTTATTATTAAAATATATAGCTTTCATGCTATATTGGAAGTCTTCCAAAGAAAGTAGGGATTTATTCTAATCTAATCTCTAGTCAAATTTATTAAACCAAGGATTCTGTAAAATGTTTAAAGTTTTAATCCATCCCAAACTTATTTTTCCCTAAACTGTGGCACTCAATGCCGTATGACTTTTCAGGGTCTCCTACAGAATATACTCCTGCCTCATTTGTACTGGGTTTAATTTACCTAAATTTCATTTATTCATCGATCACTCTTTCCAGTGATTGAAAGTATTGAATTTATTCTATATCCTTCCATTAAAATGGAAGATCAATAAATTTAAAAGGGTCGTCAACTTTGCTCCATTTTATAATCCTAGTAAACAGAACAATACCTAGGATACAATAGCTGTTTGGTAAATATTTATTAAGAAAACATATATATATATAAAATAGTTAAAAATAAATTAGTTTTAAAAAATGATGAATTAAATTCTTACATATGCTTGTGTGTGTTCCTTGATCTTTCTATTCTCTTCCATAATGTACCAGCTACATACTAAATACGATGTATAAATTTTTAAAATGAGCAAATAACATCTCTGGGCCTCAGGGAGATTGTAATTTAGTTACTCATTATAATTAATATTCAGATGAATTTTTACACATTTTTAAACATTGCTTAGTTTAGTTCATGGCAATTTACCTATGAATAAATAAATAATAAATATGATTTCTACCTTATAGCTAATATGTGCTTGCTTTCTTAGAAAATCTGTAAACACCTTGGATATTTTATCATTAGCTGATTTTAAAGTAAAATAAGATTCCTGGTTTTGATGCACAGTGACAATACGAATGCCAAGAAAAAGACATAGACTACCTGAGGTGGAAGAATAAAGATACAATGTGTTTCCTTACTAAAGAACAAAGCGCAGGGTCAAGTACTGATCTCAGAATGAAATCCTTACCAGGCATCCAACTAAAGTCTGAGCAAAATTAGAGAGAAAATCAATATTTCACCACTGAGTATTTTTAGAGTTTAAAATTATAGGACACAGAAGACTCTGACAGAGAGCAAGTGAATGGTGCACAGTGTGTGTGTCTGAAATGTCTAAAAATGCTTCACTTGACAAAGCTTTGGAAGGGGTTATCCAGAGTAGCCAGCTTTGATCACTGTTTTTAACTTGTCTTTTCTTTAGATTTGAACACAGAGACAAAATGTTGTGTCTTTTGAAGGCAACATCTACTAAAATTTATGCACTTGCATTAGACCCAATTTTTAAAAAAATTTTAATTCTATGCACTGTCTGTTCATTGTCAAATAATTTTAAAAATGCAAACTTGTTCAAAGAAGAAGTTATCCATTATTTGAATAATTAGAAACAAGCACAGGTAATATAATGGGTAAACTCATTGATTCAGGGGTGTTATTTCACAAAACGGACTGAAGATCTTGAATTTACTGACATCATAAATACAATTTCAGGCTGTAATTTTGAATGGCATTGTAGTATTTTATTAAATGGAGTGGGCTATAATTTATTTCAACAATTCCCAGCAATTCAATGGGACATCGAGTAGATGTCCAGTGTAGTGCTTTCATAAGCTACCTTGTGATAAATGTCCTTGTAGTAATTTTTTGAAATTTATTTTCTTACAATCTTAAATTCTAATCAAAGAGAGGCTAGAAGTAGAGTTACTGATATTTATGATCAAATCATCATCAGAGAAGTTAAAATTATTTATTTCCTCATCTGTACCAAGAGGCACCATTATATTATCATTTGCATTTTTTACTATTTGGGCTACACATGTTTATACTACTGGCCAATTATTATTTATACTTTTATGAGTTGTCCGTATCTATGATGATAACCTTTATTATTGGTTCCACATATTTGCCCCCTTTTTTATATATGGATTCTACAACTACACCTAATACCATATGATTTTTTAAAGCCTTCTGCAGAAATTGTATACATCTCTGCCTTGATGGCATTGAGAATAGTTTATCCCCTCTTACGTGAAAAGACATAATGTTGTTCATGTATGAGTAGAAAGTTAGAAAGCCATGGCATAAAACCACAAATACTCTTGCTCTATTTTTTCTGTGAAAACAATGGCACATCCCAAATGGAAGTTGCTTCTACAGTCTGAATCCCTGGGTAAAATAACATGGAACAGACCTGTATCAGCCCACAGAGACCTGAAGTTCCACTGTAAAACATTATGGTAAGCCATAACATTAGCTACTGCAGCAAAGCTGATTAACACGATGTTCATTGATAAATTTTCAGTTGGAGATTTCTCTTTGTTTTACTATTATTAATAAATATTAAGACTAATACCTCATCATTTATTATAAATCTTGCAAAAATTTCCAACTGTATAATCCATATTTTGAATATTATTGTGTTTAATTTCCATACATATAAGTTTAACTTTTATGTAGTCAAATCATATCATCACTTTTCTTAATTGTCTTTTAATTTCAGTATTATCTTTAGAAATGCCTTCTACTCTCCAAGTTTATATAATCCTTGGACTCTTTGCTAGTTATTTTAGGATTTAATTTTTTATATTTAAATTGTTGGTTCACATGGAATACTATGCAGCCATAAAAAATGATGCGTTCATGTCCTTTGTAGGGACATGGATGAAGCTGGAAACCATCATTCTCAGCAAACTATCGCAAGGACAAAAAACCAAACACCGCATGCTCTCACTCAAAGGTGGGAATTGAACAATGAGAACACTTGGACACAGGAAGGGGAACATCATACACTGGGGCCTGTTGTGCGGTGGGGGGAGCGGGGAGGGATAGCATTAGGAGATATACCTAATGTAAATAATGAGTTAATGGGTGCAGCACACCAACATGGCACGTGTATACCTATGTAACAAACCTGCACGTTGTGCACATGTACCCTAAAACTTAAAGTATAATAAAAAAATTGTTGGTTCATTAAAAATTTAGGTTGCTTTTTAAGACCGTTCCCATACTTGTTTCCAAATGATCATTCAACAATCCAAATTTCACTTTTTAAAAAGTCAGCTTATTTTAACTGATATTTTATTTTTAAATAATATTCTGAAATACTCATTTTGTTTTCTAGATAATATTTTTACACATTGACAGGTCTCCATTTTTTACCCTATTGTCCTTATTTAGTATCAACTATATGTAAATTAGTATAGATATTAGGAACATAAGTTGGAAAATAGACTCCACTTTCAGGGAGATGTTAATGTGGTTGATAATGGCAACAGTTAATGTTATTTAATTTATAATTTTAAATCACACCTACATGAACCAATCTTAATTTAATTCACAGTTTGTCATAAATAGTTTAGAAATAAAACCATAAAAATATTATTTTAATTATGCCACACATAATTAAAAATTGATGATTATATCTTAAATTTTATAGGCGTTATAAAGCTAACTAAATTATTTGTTGGACATCACCTCATTTGATGTTTATGACCAGTGTGATAGATAGAAAACCGAAATGATTAAAGCAAATCAGTGTACCAAAACTAAGTAGCCAGGCTGAAATGAAAACAAATGCTCTTCAGCTTGAAATTCTATTCTCTTTCCGGTATATCATGTCATTTGTTATTTAACTGATACTTCTCTGGGAAAATTTATTCTGAGTTTCAGATGGAGATGCCCAAAACACCTCACTCTTCAAATTGGTGGTATATAAGACAGGATATGTTATGGTATGTAGCAACTTCAAAACCTTGGCATTTTATGACAAGTTTTTTGCATCTATCTACCTGCCTATCTGCCTACCAGCCTCACACTGTATATCCTTTACATGTTATCTACATTAAGAAAATTTAAATGGGCCAGGTGCAGCAGCTCACTCCTGTAATCCCAGTACTTCGGGAGGGCCAAGGTGGGCAGATTGCTTGAGCTCGGGAGTTCAAGACCAGCCTGAGCAACATGGCAAAACCCCGTCTGTACAAAAACTACACAAAAAACTATCTGAGCATGGTGGTGCGTGCCTGTAGTTCCAGCCACACTGGGATATGGGTAGCTGACATGGGAGAAACACTTGAGCCCAGGATTGAGACTGCAGTGAGCCATGACTGCACCACTGCAGTCCGGTCTGGGTGACAGAGTGATACCTCCTCTCAAAAAAAAAAAAGAAAAAAAAAGAAAAAAAGATTTAAGTGTATAATTTTCTAACATAATATGACTCTAACATATAACCAACAAATAATAAAAGGAAAAGTGAATAACTGCAAGTACAGTGGATAAGTGGATGGGAAACAATGAACAGTATTTACTTCCATCTGGCAGGTATTTGATTCTATTGCACATGAAGAAATAGAAATATCTTCAAATTCTTCCCACAGGCTTCTCCATGAATGGTAACACAGGCACACCTTGTTTTATGGCACTTTGCTTTATTGTGCTTTGCAGATATTACGTTTTATACAAATTTAAAGTTTGTGGCAACCCTGCATTAAGCAAGTCTATGAGTGCCATATTTCCAACAATAGTTCTCCAACTTTGTGTCTCTGTATCACATTTTGGTAATTCTCACAATATTTCAAACTCATTGTTGTTATATCTGTTATGGTGATCTGTGATCAGTGGTCTTTGATGTTACTATTGTAATTGATTTGAGGCACCACAAACTGTTTCCATATGAGACTGCAAACTTAATCAGTACTTGTTATGTGTGTTCTGACTGCTCCACCAACCGGTTGTTCCCCCATCTCTCTCCTTCTCCTCGGGCCTCCCTGTTCCCTAAGACACAACAATATTGAAATTAGGCCAATTAATAATCCTATGATGTCTCCAAGAATTCAAGTGAAAGGAAGAGTTACACATACTTCACTTGAAATCAAAAGCTAGAAATGACTAAGAGTGGTGAGGAAGGCAGTTTGAAAACTGAGGTAGGCCAAAAGCTAGGCTTCTTGTACCAAGCAGTTAGCCAAGTTGTGAATGCAAAGAAAACATTTTTGATGAATATTAAAAATTCTACTCCAGGGAACATATGAATGATAAGGAAGCAAAACAGCCTTATTGTTGATACGGAGAAAATTTGAGTGATTGGGATAAAAGATCAAACCAGTTGTAACATTCCCTTCAGGCAAAGCTAAATCCACAGCCAAGCCCTAACTCTCCTCAATTATATGAAGACTGAGAGAGGTGAGGAAGGTGCAGAAGAAAATTATGAAGCTAACAGAGATTGGTTTGTGAGGTCTAAGGAAAGAATGTGTCTCCATAACCTAAGAGTTCAAGGTGAAGCAGCAAGTGCTGTTGGAGAAGCTGTAGCAAGTTATCCAGAAGATCTAGCTAAGACAATTGACGGCTACACTAACATCAGATTTTCAATGTAGATAAAACAGCATTCTGTTGGAAAAAGATGCCATTGAGGACTTTCATAGCTAGAAAGGAGAAGTCAATGCCTGGCTTCAAAGCTTCAAAGCTCAGGCTGACTCTCTTGTTAGGGTTTAGTGCAGTTAAACCTTTAAGTTGAAGTCAATGCCCATTTACCATTCTGAAAATCCTAGAGCCCTTAAGAATTAGGCTAAACTACTTCGCCTATGCTCTGTAAATGGAACAACAAAGCATGGATGACAACATATCTGTTTATAGTATGGTTTACCGACTATCTTAAACCTACTGTTGAAAGCTGTTGCTTAGAAAAAAAGATTTATTTCAAAATATTACTGTTCATTGACAAAGCACCTGGTAAACCAGGAACTCTGATGGCAACACACAAGGAGATCAATGCTGTTTATCAAGTCTCCTAACACAACATTCATTCTGCAGCCCGTGGATCCAGGAGTAATTTTGACTTTCAAGTCTTATTATTTGAAAAATACATTTCATAAGGTTATAGCTGCCATAGATAGTGACGGATCTGGGAAAAATATTTTTTTCTTTCTGGAAAAGATTCACCATTCTAGATGTGATGAAGAACAGTCATGATTCATGGAAGGAGGTCAAAATAGCAACATGAGCAGCAGTTTGGAAAAAGTTGATTCCAACCCTTATAGGTGACTTTGAGGAGTTCAAGACCTCAGTGGAGGGAGTCACTGCAGATGTGGTGGAGATAGCAAAAGAAATAGAATTATAAGTGGAGCCTGAAGCTGTGACAAAACTGCAGCAATTTCATGATAAAACTTTAATGAATGAGTAGTTTCTTCTGATAGATGAGCAAAGAAATGTGTTTCTTGAGATAGAATCTACTCCTGGTGAAGATGCTATATGCATTGTTAAAATGACAACTAAGAATTTAGGATATTACATAAACCTAGTTGATAAGACAGCAGCAGGGTTTGAGAGAACTGACTCCAATTTTTAAAGCAGTTCTGCTGTGAGTAAAAAGCTATCAAACAGCATTATATGCTATATACGAATCCTTCATGAGAGGAAGAATCAATAAATGCAGCAAACTTCATTGTTGTCTTATATTAAGAAATTACCACAATCATCACCCTGGTCAGTCAGCAATCATCAACACTGATGCAAGACCCTACACCAGCAAAAGATTACAATTCACTTAAGGCCCAGATGATTGTTTGCATTTTTCATCAATAACATTTTAAATTATGTTATGTACATTTCTTATTTAGAGATAATGCTATTACACACTGAATAGACTACAGTATAGTAAAAACATAACTTTTTTTTCTTTTTTTTTTTTGAGACAGAGTCTCGCACTGTCGCCCAGGCTGGAGTGCAATGGCGTGATCTCGGCTCACTGCAACCTCCGCCTCCTGGGTTCAAGCAATTCTTCTGCCTCAGCCTCCCAAGTAGCTGGGATTACAGGCACCCAACACCATGCCCAGCTAATTTTTTGTATTTTTAGTAGAGATGGGGTTTCATTGTGTTGGCCAAGCTGGTCTCGACCTCCTGACCTCGTGATCTGCCTGCCTCAGCCTCCCAATGTGCTGGGATTACAGGCATGAGCCACCACGCCCGACCCCAAAACATAACTTTTATACGCACTGGAAAACCAAACAATTCATATGACTCTCTTTGTTGTGGTATTCATTTTCTTGTGGTGGTCTGGAATGGAACCCACAATATCTTTGAAGTATGCTTGTATATTCCTTGACTACTATGAGATACCCAGCTACTCAAAAAGTACCTTAGCTATGCGATTGAAGATCTATATGACCAGTTTTACACTGGAATGTCCCTGACTCCTTTTAGAAATAAACACTGTGGGCCAGGCATGGTGGCTCAGGCCTGTAATCCCAGCACTTTAGGAGGCTGAGGCAGGAGGATTGCTTGAGGCCAGGAGTTCCAGGCCAGCCTAAGCAACATAAAAAATCCCTGTCTCTACAAAAAAACAATTAAAAATTATCCAGTGTAGTGGTGTGTGCCTATAGTCCCAGCTACTCAGTAGGCTAAGATGGGAGGATCCCTTGAGTCCAGGAGTTCGAGGCTGCAGTGAGCCATGATTGCACAGCTACACTCCAGCCTGGACAACAGAGTGAGACCCTGTCTCTTAAAAAAGAAAGAAGTGAACATTATGTTTTGTTGGTCTCACACCTGATTGCTATAGTTCTGTGCAACCTACCAGGTATCATAGGAAAATTCTGTTCTAGACTTTGCCTCAAAGAGGCAGCGCCTCTTCGTGAATATGTAGATGAAATAGTAGTGCTGTTGTTTCATGGTTCACCAATCTACTTGATGTGAAAAGATGAGGTGGGCTTGCTATGTGAGTTACCACATGGTAAAGCAAATCACACTGTGACAATGTGTATAAAGGTGGGACCCTTGAAGGCATAGGGAAAGGTGACCCCCACAGCTCAGCAAGCAAGGAACTACTCTGTGGGTTGTGAAAGGGAGTGAAAAGAAGAAAAGTTTGTTATCGTCATTTATCTCCCTGATGCCTTATACTTA
This sequence comes from Homo sapiens, assembly GCF_000001405.40. NCBI lineage: Eukaryota > Metazoa > Chordata > Mammalia > Primates > Hominidae > Homo > Homo sapiens. The sequence continues at coordinate 90,967,006 of NC_000013.11, forward strand.
GACATTTAGCCCATATCCTAAACTGATTAGAAATACGATCACTTTATTACATAATCATGAATATTACACGGTGATTGGCTCCATGTGTCTTGGTTATTTCCAACAGCACCATTTTTGCATGTTCAAAACATCAGCTAAAATCCCTGTTGGCCCGTAAGTTTTCTTCCTCAGCTTTGAGAGCGTGAATGTTCCCTGGAACAAATCATGAGATCACAGCCTAGGAACAAAGAAGCACAAAAAGGGCACGATGTACAACAATTACCACTCCCTTCCTAGTTTCCCCAACTGTTATGTTCACAATGCTCAGCCAACCACTAACAAGAAAGGAAAACCGTGGTACAGGAAGATAGAGTTTCTTCCTTTCTTTAGCGAGAAAATGACAGTTTCATTGACCTAAAATCACCTGCCAGCACATCTTGGACTTACTTCAGGGTCCTGAAGGTGGAAAGATTCAGAAGCAGTGCTAGTTCTTCATTTCTCTGAATAGAAATAAAAACACTCCAATTTTAGAAGATGAGAGGAGAGTAATACAGGAAACAATCTACTGTGTCTATTACCCAAGAAACACCTGACTCTGTCTCAGAAATAAAGTCACTGAAGTAAAGAGTTCTGTCACTATATTTTTTAAAAGATTGATTCCAATGTGAATTTTCTTCTTGTTCTTATCCTTTTATCTCTAGCATCATCTTCTAAAATGAGAGGCTCTTTTGACTCATAGTAAGTTAATAAGCTCTGTCTTGTGAGTCCATCTTATTTGCCACATTAATGCTCTTCATATTCATAAAAGGAAGTCAGTGAAAAGTATTCTTCTAGTCTCATATAAACAGAAGTGAGTCATGACCTCATATACTGAAGTATGAAATATGCAGAGCAAATTGCACTATGATAGTAATTTGGCTGAATTAACTTTGTTATTCTTTTTTTCTTGAGTTAATGACCATAAAGAGCTTGTCTGCAATAGTGATTGTTTCATATAAACATTAGATAGAAAAGTGTTCAGTAATGTTTTAAATGAACTTATAGATGTATATGACTACCATGTCCCAACATGAACATATTTCCATAGAAGTATATTTCAGACAATGTTATAAGATAAAGCTAATGGGAAGATATCATTTGCAGTTCAGAGAATCCATAATGGATATTGAAGAAATATATTTTGAACATATTGAAATTTCCTCTAAAGATACAATTTGTAGTAATTCAGCTAAAACACAATAATTAAAACTCTACGTGTTGGAGGGTGCTAGCTGATTATAAAACTAATTCCCTCTTCTTCCTGGGCCACAGCTAGATTAACTTTCCCCAGCTCACTTGAAATTAGATGTGGGCATGTGACTGACTTCTAATGGAGTGTGAGTAGAAATGGTGCATGCTTGCTCCCAGACTGGCCACAGAAATTTCCTGTGTGTTTATACTCTTCTTTCTGTTGCTTCTGAGAAGTGCAGAACCAGAAATTGAAGGAGCAGAGACATTGAATTACCATCAGGCTGGGGGCATGAAAATAAAGCAATGTCTTTTAGGATCCATGGCAAAAACCAGAGACTCCTCTAATATTTCTGTATGGAAAGAGATTTATTACAAGGAAGGTGATGCGTACAAACTAGTTAGAAGGATTGGGTGAACAGAAGTCATGGGGCTTCTATTAGATTTCAAGCTATACTACTGCCATTGTGAGAGATCAGAAAACTTCTGCTGCCACCCAGAGGTGAAAAAGCCTCCTGACATAGCTGCCAACTCCCCAAATGCCCACAGCCCCAAAGCCTGAAACCAGGCAGCAGAACACTGAACTCTACAATAGCAAAAATCAGTGTCTGCAGAAGTCTACTTACCAACTGCCACCACTGAGGGAGAAGAAAACACCTTTGCATCCTTTCACCTTACAAATCCTCCATAAGTACATCTCAGTGCAAAATCTAAATCAAACTTGAAACCTGCCAGTCAGGGAGTCAGAATCCGGGAAATACAGTTCCAAGGTTAGAACTGTAGAGAATGTTTCTCTTTATTGCAGAGGATAGATGCCAAAGCAAGTTGCTTGCACCAGTGACTACTTAGGCAGTAAATGTCAATATGTTATTTTGCTGTGGAAGAATATGATGTGCCAGTCATAGATATATAACAAACCCCGAGACTTTCATAAATAATTAGTAAGATTTAGGGGAGGAAAGGAGCTAAGGCTCTGCTTTTATTCAAGTGGGAGGCAATGAGCCAATATTATAAAGATGTTTGTTTGAATGAGACTATTCTTTTTTAGTCACATAAACACAAAACCTGGGGAGACTTTGATTACACACAGTGGGTTACAATGGACGCAGCTCCGTTCCTGTCTTTTCTGTGACTCAATGTTGAACACACACCTCTCTGTTACACATTTGGTACTAAGTCCTGATGGGATGAGTTTGTCTAGAGCAACGGTATTTAACCTTTCTTAGATGCTTGCTGGAAAGCTGGACAAATTCCTCTAGCTTCTGAAGAGAAAATATTAGTTTCCAGTGAGCTTAGGGAAAAGGCCCAGCAGAAGCTGCTGTGGAATAATAATGTCCATTTGAGTATATGAAAGAAGAAACAGACACGAAGTTCTAGAGAGCAGGCAAAGGCTGCAACCACTAATAATCAGTATTTCTTCTGTGTCCCCTATTCTTCTGAAAGGGCTTTCTTGTTCTGATTTAAAAGTCAGGCCAATAGTTTTCTTTGACATGGCATTTAGTGTGAGTAGTAATTCTCCTATTCAGTTTTACTATCTTTGAGGTAGTTACTCTTATATCTTCATTTTACAAGTGAGAAAACGGGCTTAGAAAGGTTAAATAGCTTGTCCAAGTACTCTATTTATGTGAGCTACAAATTACATTCTTCCTAGAAGTATAGAACTGAATTTATAAGCTCTTCCAACTCAGAAATTATAGAAAAGTATACTTAATGCCAGTATAATTTTTCTACAAAGTTTATCTAGCTATATCAAAGGATTATAACCTGCATTGATTTATTATTATATGATGATCAAACTTTATCAAGTTGAAATATGTAGAAAATAAAATTATTTCACAACTCCAATCTCGAAGTAAAAATCACTCAACAGTTTGAAATACAGAGGTAAATATGTATGTTTTAATTAACAGAATACTGAATATACACAGTTATGCCGCATTTCTCCTTTTGAAAAACAATCTCCTTTTGAACTGAATTGTTTCTTTTTTTCACTATCACAAATAATTTTGCAATTGGTTTTGAATTTTTTTCTAAGAAATCAGTTTATGCATAAAATAGTCATTGCCTTTTATGTTTAATATTTAATTATGATATATGCAAAAATAGGTAACTTTCTTACCCAAACTTCAGTAACAGGAGCAACATATTTGTAATTTAGTAACCAGACATTTGCCTGCATATAACCAGTAAGTTATCTCTTTTCCTGTTTGCCCCGAGAATACTCACCAGCAGCACATGCAGCTGCAGCATTTACCCCGAGATAACCTTACCACAAAATCTCTCGCTTTTATTATGATTTCCACATCTCTCTAGTATATTGACTTTGAAAACAAAAGACATTATTCTATTGGTAGCATTCTGGTTTTAGTAGTAGTGTTTCCATTTACAAAGTATGGTAATTCTCAACCGCTGAAAATGGCAAATCCTAGAAAACATAGCATTCTTGCGCATGATGTTAACATTGTTCTCGAACAGTTGTTGGTCGAAGATTTATTGGATGAATCCATTTTTTCCAAAATAGACTATTAAAGAGCATGTTTATGTAAAATTAAATGAGCTCTGGCAGCGGGCTGCACTGTCTTTTTCTAAACGGGAACATAAACTACAAAGTGCTATTTACCTTAATGACTCAGATAAGGCAAAAATCCCGGGGATGAACTACAGAAAAAGAGAAGGATTAAAAGTGAGAGAACTGAGGAAGTCATCTGTGTGCCTGATTACTTCTATGTCTTTACTCGACCAAATCCTTTCATTCAATTTGTTAGAAATATGATTTTAATTATTGCTCCTACTGAAAATAAACTTGTCTAATTACTTGAATAATTGTATAAATGTACCTATATGCATAAGTAGCAACATTATCATGGTCAATTTGTCCTATCTGGCAACAGTCAAACACATTTTCATGAATTAAATTTCTATAATAATTGCAGATACAGAAGAAAACATAGATCCAGTAAAATAGATCAATTAGGTGAAAAAATTTTCCAGAATAGACTAATGATAATATGATACTATGTATTATTTACTCCCAGAGAATTTTTCTATATCAATATTTTTATTACATCTAACAGATAATACAAGTTTCTGTCTTCTTCAGAGAATCATTTCCAGACCCTGTGCATACCCACAAGGTGCACAAATCTTAATAATTGCATGACTGAAGGCACACTGGCGTGAATTTGACAAATCTGTGAATTGTCAGAAGAAGCAGGACAGTTATGAGAGAGAGCATATGAGGATAAGCAAATACACAGTTGGATAGAAAAATGGTTAGATGATTAGATTAGATACATAGATAATAGATAGATGGATAGATAGGATAAATATATGGTATTTGAAATTGAATATTTGTATATTTCACACACTGTCATAAGGGCTTTGTGTAAATTACGCTTCTTAGCCTTTACGGTAATCCTATGAAGTGGGCATCTTAAATGAGATGTAATATTTGAGACTTTAAGCTGAATTGCAGATGATCTCACACTCAATAAATGACACATTCAGGATTCAAATGAATTTGAAAGCATAGACTCTCACTTATTCATGCAATACAATCCAGTCACCATTATGTGCCAGCACCATTCTAGGCATCACTGATAAAGTGGGAAATAAAACAGACCAAGTTTCTGCCATCCTATTTCTTATACTGTACTGAGGAGAAGAGACAAAAAATATATAAGTACATAATATATTAGGAGCTAATGGACATTGTGAAAAAAGTAAAATCAAAGTGAAGGAAAAGATCGAGTCAGGGAGTCTAAACACTGTTTTTTATAGGAAAGAAGATGTTTGAGCAGAGACCTGAATGGAGCCCAGCACTGCCATCAGGCTATCTGGATGAAGGACATTTCTTGCAAAAGAAAAAGCTCAAATATTCCCAGGTGGGTGTTTGCTGGATGTGTGAGAACAGTTGCAAGGAGATCAGCATTTGCTAAAGACGAATGAGTTGGGGTTGTTGCAGGAGGTGGTGAAGCAGCAAAGATATTAGGGAAAGACCACACAGATTTTCATTTGGGATTTTAGTCTAAGTGATATGGGGAGCCATTTGAGAACTATGGTGAAGAAGACGGCAGAGTCTACTACAGTGCTAATAGGCTAACTCTGGCTTCCATGGGGAGAGTTGTCAGTAGGGAGGAAAAAGAAGAGACCAATTAGGAGGGTGATTCTCAACCCCAAAAATCCAGTGCTTTTTTTAAATTAACAAACATAAATGCCCTTTTTTTAATCATTTTAAATAAATCTGAACTACCTACACAAATGATTACCAAAGTAAATCAAAATTTAACCTAGGCATGGTGGCTTACATCTGTAATCCCAACACCTTGGGAGGCCAAGATGGATCACTTGAGGCCAGAAATTCAAGACCACTCCTACCAATATAGTGAGAGTGTCTCTCTAAAAATTAAAAAAAAAATTATCAAAAATTGAAATTCCTATTTATAATACAAATGAGCAATAAATGAAAAACAATTTATTTTAAAAACCATTTATTTTGACATATGTCTTTTTCTGCAAAAAATACATTAAAAAACAGTAATGAGTGATCAGATTTTGACACTCATGTGTATGTGTACCAAAATTATGAAAGCTAAAAGAGCTGACCAATCCAGATGTCTTATACTGGCAACTCAAGGACAAAAAAACTGCATGGCCAATAATAATGTCATCGTCTGAAGTGATGAAAATAATCCTAGTAAAGTTTCAAACAACACTTAAACTTTTAATTTACACAGCAGTTATATTCCTGAAAAATCCTACGTATTTTAGCGGGGGAAACATGGGGCCAAGCTACTTTATGTTTGTAAGTAAAATAGAATGAGATTCTAGGCTCAGACATGACCAAGAATGCGAGGCACTTAAAAGTCAAGCAGAGTGAAGGATAATTATTTATTCTGGTGTACTTTCCTGTGCATCACTAGCCCCCACTGCTCGGTAAAGGATTAATATCTTCTTCAACCCCTCTAATCAATGAATACAGCCCCATAGGTTTTGAAAGTGCTTCCAGAAGAAGGTGTTACCCATTTTAGAATGACTGAGTCAGGAGACTAAAGCAAAGGACAAGTGAAAAGGGAATCACACTGAAGGTGGTGATCAGTGGCAGATTCAGGATATGAAGTCAGAATTTACCGGATTTGCCAGTGATTGGATGGGGGATGTGAAGGAAAGAATGGCATCAAGGATGATTCCACGTATTCCAGTTTGAGAAACTTGGAGGAAGGAGGTGCTATACAGAGACAAAAGCTTATGACTACGCTATATCACTCTCCATGTGTGATAATTATGAGGCTATTGGGAAGACCCCTTCTGACCATAGTACTTTCTCACCAGCTACCCCTAATGCCTGGAAATGGTAGAAATCTGGCTAATTATGACAAATGCTTTTGACTATAGAGTAAATTAGATTAAAATTTTCCACCAGAATATTCCTTTAATATTCAGTTGAAGCAAGGACATTGAGGGAAAATTTTAATAGGAAAGAAAAAAGTTCCGAATATGTATTTCCACATGAAAACTGATCTGGTTAGAGCAAAGGACTGATAATAAGCATAGAAAATCGGCCTGAAAATGTGAAAAGGAATTTAGAAAGGATAAGTAGATGAAAAGTAATGATAAACTTTGCCTGCTTCATTATTTTGCCTATGACAGGTCATCATCAATTATGTACCCATGGCCATTCTGACAAACGACAGGTAAGTTTCACTAAGCACCAACCCATCTGCAGGGTAAGAAAAATAACTAAGTTAACTTCAAATTAAGAAAATAGGAAAAAGTGTCTCAGTTTTCCCAAGAAGCCTAATAGATGGGGCTACCACCCACCTCTTATGGATAGTGGGAAGTCTGTTGTAAATCATGACTCAGTTGCTTATGAGCTCACTGTCTCTTTTCCCTTTAGGTGAAAGGAGGTTACTAAACACTTTCCTTGACCTGCCCATCCTCCTGCCCTAGGACCAAGCCACAAGCATATTAGAAAACAGAAAACAAGCCGAGGAAAGTCTTTCTGGGTTTTTAGCATGTGCTTCCCTCTGAAATTATATTTTTCAAATATAAATTTAGAATAAGAGAAAATAATGGAAGTCCATGTTTTAATTGCAATGTTGTCTCAATCCATTCCCCTACAGAATACACTCAAGTAATCCATGGTATTTCATGGTATTTTTTCTCACTTGAAAACAAAATCTGCTTTCCTTTCACCTTCACTGGGTGAGTGTGATCAACATAACAATATTGGTTGTAAAAGGGGATCCCTTGATGGTGAGGCAACCCCAGAGCTTGAAGCAGCTGCAACGAAAAACAGGAAAAGGTATGATATTATCCTCTGTCAAACAGAAAAAAAAATGTGTGATTTTGCAGTTTATATCCTGTGCTACTCTTTGACAAGCATGATGTTGAACTGCATTAAATATTAATTTGTATAACGCTGAAGTCATATAAAACTAGGCATAAAACACAGCAGGGGAAATTGCATTTTCTTACAGTTAAGACTATTGTTACAGTCTTCTGGTACCTCCTGCTGTCATCCTACTTAGTAGATTGATGTTTATTTTGCCAGCACACATCGACTGCCATCAATAGCACTGCTAACTTGTCTACTGTTATGTTGTCCTCAGAAGCAGTAAATCTTGCCAACTGCAAAAGGGTCTTTAGATTCAAGAGACTACTCATAATCTCTTGACATGAATTTAATCAAAATTCAGAAATGCCACATGAATGTTTGCTTCTAGCAAATAGTTTATTTTAAGCCTAGGCAGAGCTTTGGTTTTGATCTACAGCGCATTTCATGATGTAAGGCCAGGGATAACTTAACTCCAAAGTGTCATGCTCCTTTGATTTCAGATTTGCCATCTGTACAAATAAATGCCTCAGTCCTCTCTTAAGCCTTACTAAAGAAAGGTATGGGCCAAATAGGCCCATTCCCCCTTACCCTACTCATTCCCAGCTTACTCTTTAATCTTCTTGTTCTTGTCACAAGTCATGAAACTATTATTTTGATTTCTTTTTTTTTCCAGAACACCTACAACATTGTTCTACAAAACCTGCAAGTCATGAACACATATTATTTAAAGGCAATTTCTTCCTTCCTTTTACATTTGGTTTTGCACCTGTGTTTTTTTTATTTTTTGCTCTCAATATCCATTCAAATCTATAAAGCCAACTCTCACTACCTCCACACACCCCTGCAAACTCTTGCCTCGGGCATTCTTCCATGGAGGCTGATCTTCAGACTCATGGCTGATGAAACGCAAGATGTCACTCAGAAGGAGATAGTTACAAAGCTGACCAGACTTCAGATACTGTGTCATATTTCTCTACCTTCTTCCATGCACTTTTGCCAAATGTAGCCTTTCTTGATCTTCATTTCTATTTTAAAAGTAATCTCAAAGTCTGAGACTCATTCTTAGCTCAACCCTAAGGAAAAAGAAAGAACAAAGAATAGGTACCGAATTTCAGAAATTCAAAGCGAGGTTACTATGATATCTTTGTTTAAAATCACGCATGCAGGAAGGAGAGCTTCATGAATGGAATTCTGGAATTAAGGACATTGAAAATGTTTACGGAGTTATAAATTCCTCATGAATTGCTTAATTCCATCTAGATTTCTAAGGACCAGAGATAGACTCTCTCTCTCTCTCTTTTTTTTTTTTTTTTTTTTTTTTTTTTGGCAAAACTCAACCTAGTATTTGCAAACAGCTACAATGCCCTCCAATTTTTAATCTCTCTAGAGAAAAAATGCTTTTTCCACTTATCACTAACATTCATCTAGATTTTTGCATTGATTAAAGATGATGTATTTTGCTTACATATCCTATTTCTGAAAGTGACTGTCTCATAAAACCACTGTGTGATTCAAAATAGCAGACTTCAACCACTGTGCTTTCCCAAGCAAGAAGAAGCTGAGATAGCTCCTGTGCTATGGTTTGAATGTCTTTCCTAAATTCAGGCATTTCCAGTGTGATGGCAGTAAGAGGCAGGGCCTTTAAAAGGTGACGAGGCCACGAGAGCTCTTCCCTCATGAGTGGGATTAAGGCCCTTAAAAAGATGCTGCACAGTGTTGGGCTTTCTTGCCCTTCTGCCTTCTGCCATGTGAGAACATAGTGTTTCTCCCCTCCAGAGGATGCAGCCCTCACCTGACTACTGAATCTGCTGACACCTTAATCTTGGACTTCCCAGCCTCCAGAACTCTGAGAAAATTAATTTATATTCTGTATAAATTACCCGGTCTTGGGTATTTTGTCATACCAGTGCAAATGGATTAAGACATCTGGTTTCTAAAAGCCTCCCCGGGGATGTTGATCATCATTTGTCTCCATTTAAAAAATCACTGATATAAACATTTCTGGAGTGTGCAGGTTCAAAAGTTTAAAACTAGATTAAAATATTTCTGCACTTTCTGCCATTTAATTGCACTCTTTATATTGGAAAATTTTGCAATTACCAAGACTCTTCTTATTCATTTGAAAGTATCTGCTATGGAAAAAACTACATGAGGGTGGGGCCAAAATGGCCAAATAGAAGCAACTGTGTCCACGGCAATCACAGAGGAATGAAAGTGATGAGTGAATTCAGCACCTTCAACTGAAATATTCAAGTTCTTGCATTGGGACTGACTAGGCAAACAATCTGACCCACGGAGAATGAAGAAAAGCAGGGTGGGTGACTACCCACCGGGGAGCAGCATGGGGGCAAAGGAACCCCCAACCCCAGCCAAGAGAAGTGGTGAGTGATTGTGTGACTTCACCTGATAAACCAGCCTCTTCCACAGATCTTTGCAACCCATGGATCAGGAAATCCCCTCATGAGTCTGCGCCACCAGAGTCTGATACGCAGAGCTGTGTGGAGTTAGGACAGAGCAGCCATTCAGACATACACAAAAACCAAGGAGTTTTAAATACTCTGGTCCCAGGATCCTTGGCAAAGTGGAAGATACATCCAAACATATCCCTAGAAAGAGGGCTAAATCCAGGGAGCCAAGCAGCGTTGTTCTGAAGACCCCACTTCTACAGGACCTCACAAGTTAAGACCCACTGGTGTGAAATTCTAGTGTGCCAACAGCAACAGGCTGAAGTCTGCCTGAGTCAAGACCAAGTTCCCAGGGGAGGGATGGCTGGCATCTCTGCAGTTCTGTAGACTCAGCTGTCCTAGCCTGCCAGCTTTGGAGAATACAGATGGTCCAGACAAGAAAGGGCCTCCAACAACACAACACAGCTGCCTTACCAGATTGTGGCCAGACTGCTTCTTTAAGCAAGACCCCAATCCACTCCACCTCACTGGGTGGAACTCCCCTGTGAGGGCTTCAGCCACTTCAGCCAGGGTTCCACAGACAGAGCTCTGATCTCTCCCTGGGACAAAGCTCCTGGGGATAGGGGGAACTGCCATCTCTGACGTTTGGTTTTGACCCAGCTGTTTCAGCCTGCTGGCTTTGGAGAATCCAAACAGTCTGGATGAGGAAATGTCCTCCCAATACAGCACACCTGCTCTAACAGAAAGCAGCCAGACTGCTTCGGTAAGCGCGTCCCTGATCCCATTCCTCCTGAGTGGGCGAGACTTCCCAGCAAGGGTCTCCAGCCACCCCCTACAGGCACATTTGGGCTGGTAACAGGTCAGTACCCTCCTGGGATGGAGATTCCAGAGGAAAGAGCAGGCTGCCATCTTTGCTTCTTCAAAGACTTCACTGGTGAATCTCCAAGTACAAGGAAAACTGAGGCAACTGGAGTCTGGAGCAGACCCTCAGGAAACCGCAGCAGCCCTACAGTAGAGTGGCCTGACTGTTAAAGGAAAAACAAACAGAAAACAACAACAACAACAAGATCAACACAAAAAGAACCCACAAAAACCCCATTCAAGGTCAGCAACCACAAATATCAAAGGTAGATAAGCCAACAAAGATGAAAAAGAATCGATGCAAAAACACTGAAAACTCAAAAAGCCAGAGAGCCTCTTCTCCTCCAAATGACAGCAACACATCTCCAGCAAGGGCACATAACTGGGCTGAGGTTGAGATGGCTGAATTGACAGAGTAGGCTTCAGAAGGTAGCTAATAACGAATTCTGTTGAGTTAAAGGAGCATGTTGTAACCCAATGCAAAGAAGCTAAGAATCATGATTTAAAAAATACAGGAGCTGATAGCCAGAATAGCCAGTTTAGAGAGAAACATAATCGACCAATGGAGCTGAAAAACACAACATGAGAAGTTCACAATGCAGTCACAAGTATTAATAGCAGAATAGAGCAAGCAGAGTAAAGAATCTCAGAGCTTGAAGACTATCTTTCCGAAATAAGACAGGCAGACAAGAATAGAGAAAACAGGATGAAAAGGAATGAACAACGCCTCCAAACAATATGAAATTATGTAAAGAGACTGAACCTACAACTGATTGGTATACTTAAAAGGGACAGGGAGAATAGAACAAAGTTGGAAAACATATTTCAAGATATCATCCAGGAGAAGTTCTCCAACCTAGCAATACAGGCCAACATTCAAATTCAGGAAATGCAGAGAACCCCAGTAAAATACTCCATGAAAAGGTCAACCTCAAGATGCATAATTATCAGATTCTCTGAGGTCAAAATGAAAGAAAAAATGTTAATGGCACCCAGAGAGAAAAGCCAGGTCACCTACAAAGGGAAGTCCATCAGACTAACTGTGGACCTCTGTGTGGAAACCCTACAAGCCAGAAGAAACTGGGAAGGGGGGAGGCAATATTCAACATTCTTTTTTTATTTTATTTATTTTATTTTAAGTTCTGAGATACATGTGCAGGATGTGCAGGTTTGTTACATAGGTAAACATGTGCCATGGTGATTTGCTGCACTTTTCAACCCATCATCTAGGTATTAAGCCCTGCATCCATTAGATATTCAACACTTTCAAAGAAAAAAAAAATTCCAACCCAGAATTTTATATCTGGGAAACTGAGTTTCATAAGTGAAGGAGAAATAAGATCCTTTTCAGACAAACAAATTCTGAGGGAATTAGTCAGCACCAGGAGTGTCTTGCAAGAGCTCTGGAAAGAAGCACTAAATATGGAAAGGAAAAACTGTTACCAGCCACTACAAAAACACACTGAAGCACACAGACCAGTGATTCTATGAAGCAACCACATAAACAAGTCGGCAACATAACCAGCTAGCATCTTGATGAAAGGATCAAATTCACACATAACAATACTAACTTTAAACGTTAATGGGCTAAATGCCCCAACTAAAAGACACAGAATAGCGAGTTGGATAAAGAACAAGGACTTATTGGTATACTGTCTTCAAGAGACCTATCTCATGTGGAAGGACACACATAGGTTCAAAATAAAGGGATGGAGGAAAATTTACAAAGCAAATAGAAAACAGAAAAAATCAGGGATTGCAATCTTAGGTTCTGACAAAACAGAATTTAAACCAAGAACTATTACAAAAGACAAAGAAGGGTATTACATAATGGTAAAGGGTTCAATTCAATAAGAAAAGATAACTATTCTACATATATGTGCACCCAATTCAGGAGGACCCAGATTCATAAAAAAAGTTCATAGAAACCAACAAAGAGACTTAGATTCCTACACAGTAATAGTGGGAGACTTTAACACCCGACTGACAATATTACACAGATCATCAAGACAGAAATTGGCCAAAACAAAGGGGCCACAGGTCCGATGCAAGTCCAAAACCTGGCAGGGCACTCATTAAATCTTAAAGCCCCCACATAATCTCCTTTGATTCCATGTCTTACATCCAGGCCATGCTGATGCAAGGAGTGGGCTCTCAAGGCCTTGGGCAGCTCCATCCCTGTAGCTCTGCAGGATACAGCCCCCGTAGCTGCTTTCATGGGCTAACATTGAGTGCCTGTGGCTTTTCCAGATGCATGGTGCAAGCTGTTGGTGGATCTACAATCCTGGAAACTGGAGGACAATGGCCCTCTTCTCACAGGTTCACTAGGCAGTGCCCCAGTTGTGACTCTGTGCAGGGGCTCCAACCCCACATTTCCTCTCTATATTGCCCTAGTAGAGGTTCTCCATGAGGGCTCCACCCCTACAGACTTCTGCCTGGGCATCCAAACATTTTCATACATCCTCTGAAATCTAGGTGGAAGCTCCCAAAGCTCAGCTCTTGTCTTCTGCATACCCACAGGCCCAACACCTCATGAAAGCTGATAAGGCTTGGGTCTTGTACCCTCTAAAGCAATACCCTGAGCTGTATATTGGCTCCTTTTAGCCACGGCTAGAGCTGGAGTGGCTGTGACACAGAGCACTAAGTCCAGAGGCTGCACAAAGCAGCCAATTTCTCCCACTTGGAACAGGAACATTTACCCAATGCCTGTACCTGCACTGTATCTTGGAAGTAACTAACTTGGTTTTGATTTTACGGGCTCATAGGCAGAAGGGACTTCCCTTGTCTTAGATAAGATTTTGGACTTGAACTTTTGGTTAATGCTGGAATGAGCTAAGACGTTGGGGAACTGTTGAGAAGGGATAATTGTATTATGCAGTGTTTGAAGAACATGAGATTTGGGAGGGGCCAGAGGCAGAATGATATGGCTTGGCTCTGTTTCCCCACCCAAATCTCATCTCAAATTGTAATCCCCACTTGTCAAGAGAAGGACCTGGTGGGATCATGGGGCCAGTTTCCCCCATGGTATTCTCGTGATAATGAGTGAGTACTCACAAGATCTAAGATTTAAAAGTGGCACTGCCTCCCTTTGCTCTGTCTCTCCAGCCACCTTTAGAAGAAGGTATTTCCTTCCCTTTTGCCTTTCATCAAGATTGTCAGTTTCCTGAGGCCTCCCCAGCCATGTGGAACTGTGAGTCAATTAAATTTCTTTTCTTTATAAATGACCCAGTCTCAGGTAGTTTTTTATATCAGTGTGAAAATTGACTAATACACCTTCCCACTCCATTTTCTAATTTTTATTGGATATTTCTTAACATTAAACCAACTTCCTGAGCATGAACCCCCATAATTAAATTTAGTTCACTTCAGCAGATGTTTTTAGTATTCCCACTAAATACCAGGTACTGTCAAACACCCTGAGAACACAAACCTGAAAAAGTATTCACATCTGCCTTCCAGGAAGTTACAATAAATTGAGAAAGAATGCCAAGAAAAGAAGTAACTAAGATCCATTAAGAAAGTGATCACTTACATCCATCATCTCAAGCATGGCATACTAATTCTCCCTTTTCAAATGCACAATTGCCTCTACTATGTTAACAATACAAAAATCAGAAGTTGTTAATTTGACCTTGTTAACCACTCAAATTTTATTCCCTCTCCTTAAACTGCCCCCTCTCCAGCACACCCACACCAGATTTCTCCACTGATGGCTTTGTTTCATCTCCTAGGAGACCTCTTCATGAAGAGCTAAAAACCACTGCTCAAATAATTCAGAGAGGACACAAATAAAAGGAAAAACATTCCATGCTCATGGATAGAAAAACCAATATCATGAAAATGGCCATACTGCCCAAAGTAATGTATAGATTCAATGCTATTTCCTTAAGCTACCATTGACATTCTTCACAGAATTAGAAAAAACTATTTTAAAGTTCACATGAAACCAAAAGAGCCTGAATAGCGAAGACAATCCAAAGCAAAAAGAACAAAGGTGGAGGCATAATGCTGTGTGGCATCAAAATGTATACTACAAGGTTACAATAACCAAAAAAGGATGGTACTGGTACAAGAACAGACACATGGACCAATGGAACAGAACAGAGAACTCAGAAATAAGACTGCACACCTACAACCATCTGATCTTCAACAAACCTGACAAAAACAAGCAATGGGGAAAGGATTCCCTATTTAATAAATGGTGCTGGGAGAACTGGCTAGCCATATGCAGAAAATTGAAACTGGACCCCTTCCTTTCACCATATACAAAAATTAACTCAAGATGGATTAAACACTTAAATGCAAAACCCAAAACTGTAAAAACCCTAGAAGAAAGATCTAGGCAATACCATTCAGGACATAGGCACAGGCAAAGATTTCACGAAATGCCAAAAACAATTGCAACAGAAGCAAAAAGTGACAAATGGGATCTAATTAAACTGAAAAGCTTCTGCCCAGCAAAAGAAACTGTGATCAGAGTGAACAGACAACCTAAAGAATGGGAGAAAATTTTTTCAATCTGACAAAGGTCTAATATCTAGAGTCTACAAAAAACTGAAACAAATTTACAAGAAAAGAAAAACAACCCATTAAATAGTGAGAAAAGGACCTGAACCAACACTTCTCAAAGGAAGTCATACATATGGCCAACAGATATTTGGAAAAAAAAAAAAAAGCTCAAAAACACTGATCATTAGAGAAATGCAAATCAAAATCACAATGAGTAACCATCTCACACCATTCAGAATGGTGATTATTAAAAAGTCCAGAAACAACAGATGCTGGCGAGGTTGCAGAGAAAAAGGAATGCTTTCACACTGCTGGTGGGAGGATAAATTAATTCAACCATGGTGGAAGACCATGAGGTGATTCCTCAAAGACCTGGAGGCAGAAATACCATTTGACCTGGCAATCCCATCACTGGGTATAGTCCCAAAGGAATATAAGTCATTCTATTATAAAGATACATGCATGCAAATGTTCATTGCAGCACTATTCACAATAGCAAAGACATGGAATCACAATAGCAAAGACATGGAATCAGTGAGAGACTGGATAAAGAAAATGTGGTACATATATACCATGGAATACTAGGCAGCCATAAAAAGGAATGAGATCATGCTATTTGCAGGGACATGGATGGAGTTGGAAGGCATTATCCTCAGAAAACCAAAACAGGAACAGAAAACCAAACATGTTCTCACTTAGAAGTGGAAGCTGAATGATGAGAACACATGGACACACAGTGGGTAACAACACACACTGGGGCCTGTCAAAGGGGTGAGTGGGAGAAGGGAGAGTATCAGGAAGAATAGCTAATGGATGCTGGGCTGAATACCTAGGTGATGGTATGATGTGTGCAGCATACCACCATGGCACACATTTACCTATGTAACAAACCTACGCATCCTGCACATGCACCCCTGAACTTAAAATAAAAGTTGAAAAAAAGAAGACAAAGAAATAGAAAAGTATCTTCTATTATTATTCCCTAAAACAACAAAACTCTACCTTCTAACATGTATTATTTCAACATTATTTCACATGAAATAACTCCCAGATATAAAAATAAAGTTAGAAATTGAAAATCCACACTGGAAGTTTTAATCGTCTAAATCCAGGGATCCAGAGTTACTGGCAAATCATCCCATGACAGCCTATGAAATATACTAATCACAGGCCGCTGACTCAGTGGACATTCAATAAATAAGAACTGATGAAGATGAAAATATGTTGCTGCAAGTTGACTTTCAGTCTTAAATAACCACTTGCAAAACTCCACCTGAAAAATGTCCTGAATATAAAGAATATTTATGAGTGACAGCTCTCTTCATCCCTTCCATACAAGTGATTTAGTTCCAGAAGATAATACTGGATCTCCAATATTGAGGTATTCATGTTTAAAGTCCAATATGCGAATAGTTAAACACCCTATATAGGCATTACTACTGTCAATCAGAAAAGTAAGCAAAATTTTAAATAATAAAATAGATTTTATCTGTATTCAAAAAAAAATTTAATAGGAAAAATAAAAATCAAGAAACATGATCTGGTGAAATAATTTAAACAAAAGGCAGAAAGTGGAAATGCTAAAATTACAGACATAAATATGTAAGATGCTTTGGGAGAGTGGCAATGAAGAAGAGCAACACTCCTGGCATATACACCATAGTATCTGAATTAAGGACTACAGCTCATAAAAGGGGACATTTGGTTACAGTATAAAAAGAAGAGCCTAATTAGGCTTTGTGAAATATTTGGACAGTTTCTAAAATCAAGTTATGGCTTTTTTTTAATTAAAAAGACTTTAAGGATGCCTTTAAGAATGATTAAAGTGAAATGTTTAGGCCAGTTTGCTGTAAACCTGAGTAAACTCCAAATTCTCGAGTCTTCTACTACACTGCAACAGCTCATTGTTGGGCTTCTCAAAAGTCCAGGAAAGGCTACATTTTCTCATGCTCACTAGCAAACTAATATATTTGTTTATATGCTCAAATATGATTTCAAAAATAGGTCTTTTTTCTGAAATCTCTAAGGGTGTTAAGTGATTTTACTGGATGTGATTGTATCTAGTCTACAACTCAATTCTACAATTATTACATTAGAAAATAACCACCTACTACTATACTGGGGAAGAAGAAAACATATTAAATGCTTATGAAACGATAATAAAATATTTTAGTTTTTCTTTTATTCCGCATTGATCTCTACATTAAAGGATACTCTTTTTTTCCTTTTAATTTGAATTTTTTGTTTTTTTCAGATGAGGGTCTCACTATGTTGGCCAGGATAGTCTCCAACTTCCAGCCTCCAGCAATCCTCCTGCCTCAGAATCCCATCCCAAGGTACTAGGATTAGAGGTGTGAGCCAATGTGCCAGGGATAATTTGAATTTTTAATAGTGAAGTTTTACATTTTTGTATCATGTTTTTTAGCCATTTGGATACTCTGATCTGTAAGTTGTCCTTAAGGAGTCCATGGAAACACAGCACTCACTTTGAAAAAGGCACCTTTTAGGAGATGCGGTCCCCCTTAGCTTTTCCCTATGGTAGTTGCTCGCACTCAGCAGTAGGCAGGTTTCAGCTGGGAGGTGCAACCAGCCACTACACTCACAGAAAGGTGACGCATGACTACAGAGCGAGCCCTATGCTGAGGGACGCTAAAATGATCCAGTCAGTTTCTCTTTGTTAAACATCACAGAGTTTCAGCGTGTGGTCCTGTGAGAAGTAGGTCAGACTATCAGTAAATGGTATTCTTGATGATTTCTTGTATGATAGATAATAAATTTTCAGAATAATAGGTTTTTCTTCTCAGATTGATGAAATCCAACACCTAGACAATGTCTCTAATTTCCTTCTTAACATTCCTAAATAGATTGTGAAAGGAATTGGGCTTTTTCTCATTAACACTGACTGCACAACGCAAGCAGTGGCTTCCACTTCAGGTATAAAGAAAAAGCACATATAAGAAGCATCTAGCACAACAGTACAAAAGTGCTTAGGTAATAAGATTTATGTGTCTGGAGAATTTATATCCAGCCATTATTAGCCATTATTCAGAAGAAGCTTGAAATGTACATACAAATAAAAGAGAAAAAGTTGAAATCCTTAAGAAACAAACCTATAGCAATAGTCAGCATAGAGAATGCAAGGATAGACACTAGTTTGAAAACTGTAATTCTTGGTAGTTATGCAGCAGCATTCCCTAGGGTTAAAAAGACTAAAACACAAGAATCATAAGCAGAAGAACCCCAGAAAGTCCCATGATCATTGTTAATCTTTGGGTTCAGGATATCAATTTTAATAACTTTTGTAATTAAAAACTTAAATGATTTTTGTGTTATATCATCATATTAGGTAAAATAATTCAGTATTAGTATGACAAATGGTTATATTGTCAACAATATTATCTTATTGGAAAATGAAAGATCGTCCAATTGAGTATCTTTCTAGAGAACTGATGACTAAAATATCAGAAAAATGTCATATTTGTAAATCACACACTATGTTCTATGTGAAGATATTCTAACATACACACACACACACACACACACACACACACACACACACAGATCACAGAAATCTGAGACTATCCCATGCTATTTCGAATGCTCCTTCCTGCTCCTCCAATGCTGTGCTCTTCTGTTTGTTACAGAGCATATAACTGAAATATTCTCCTCCCCACTCTTTGTCCACTTAGTAGAGTCACAATCTTTCTTTAAGATTCAACTGAAGTGATTTATCCTCTATGAAGCACAACGTAAGCCCTTTATCACGATGTGTAGGACGGTGGCCACCCTCAACCCCATTTCCATAGTCTTCTCTACTGCTGTGGTGTTTCCCATAGAGTACTGAAATTTGTTACAGGAGAATCTTTGTAGAATAATTGCAGAAAAGGTTAAAAGCACAGGGGCATAGATGAGTGAAAAATCCAGATATATGACTTATGAAAATATTAGCGGTATAGCTTGAATCAAATTGTTTAACATCTTTAAGGCTTAATTTCTACATCCTTAAAGTAGAGACAAATATGCCTACCTTACAGGTTACGATACAGGCTATGTGAGTTCATACATATAAAACATTGCACAGCATCGCTCCGATGGAAACAAGGAATTATAGTAACTGTAAGGAGGAGGAGGATGAAGAAGAGCATAGTAATGTTCCATTACTAGACTGTGAGCTCTATGAAACATTGAAGGCTTAAAATAAACCTTAATCATCTTGGTATTTCCAGGGGTGAAAATCTACTATATTACAGATTATCAACAAATCTTCATTGAACTAAAAAAAAGAATAAACTGTAAGTAATTGCTCAGGAGATGTTATGTAGCAGTAAGAAAAGATGTGTAAGAAAAGGACAAGTAAAGACTACATTTGGAAGATAAATTTCTATTTTATCTAGCAATTGATAGGTAACCATTAACATATCTAAAGCAAGGAAATGACATGATAAATGTTACCATTTTAGACATATAGGCAACAACCTGGAGAACAGATTGCAAATATTTTTATTCTATGGATATAAATGAAAATATGTATTAGCTTCAGCCATGTATTCTCATTTCTATTACTGTAGATTTGAGGAAAAATAACGGCATTTTAAATAACATTTTTCTCTGTTTTGTTCTGTTTATTAAATACTATTCAATCTAAGATTGGCATATATTTCCCTCGGATATTTTATACTCTCTGCCATATATATCTTTGTATTATGTATATGTGAAACGATGAAAGTATGTATATGAGGTTGAAAGTTCATTGAAGTACTTTAACCACATTTTTAAAACTAAGTAATTAAAGAATAATAATGTAGAATTATAAGAATTTTCTAGTTGATATTCACAGAGGAAGAAATCTTAACAAGAATAGAAAGGTCCTTGGTAGGTCGGTTGAGCATTAAACATTTTATTCACATTTCGGCATTAGGAAATAAAAGTTATTAACTTTCTTGCTTTTAGATGCACTTAATACTCTGTAGAAATATCCTTGAGCCTCAGAGGCTATTTACCTTTCTTTGCAATGTACACATCTGTCAATCTTTAAAGAGCTGGAAAATTTGAATAACAAATCCTCTAAAGCAAATGGCATAGCATGCTTAAGTGTATCAGTTTGCTAACATGGATCTAGTCTTTCTCTTTACCATTATTCCTGCAATAAAAGCAAAATGTCAACAGGGAGTTGAGATTTAAGTAGTTTTTAAAAATGGAAAGGCTAGTGATTCTTATAGACAAAATACCATTTTATTAAATGTATTAAACATGAAATATTGTATTACTATCCCTTGAGGCTGAATAATATCAATTTGCCCAATTAACAATATTTTAATCAATCATGACATCAAGCAAATTTTTATCTTTAAGCAGGTCTTGTGTTACACAGGTAGCTAAGATCAAGAATATAAGTCCTTACCTAGCTATAATGTGACCATAATAATAATAAAGGTAATTATTTTATTTATTAGGGGCTTTGAGGTGGCTTCACCAATAATACAGAAATCATGGAGATATTTTGCTCTCTGGAAGTGAATGGAAAAAGAAAGCTGGAATGAGGATTTAGGACTGGAATTCTACATATTTAACTATCTAAGCATTGTGTCAGTTAGAAGGAGTGCTTGTCATCTATGAAAGCAGAAGGAGTCACCAAGGTGAATGTTGTTAGTACCTGTGTCCTCATTGTCTAGGGGACCAGGAGCTTGAAGTGTCCTAGAGCCACTGACAGAGATAAATGTTGGTGACTATAGCTAAAGAACTTCAAATATTCTGATATCCCAAATTAACAAAAATATAAAAATTAGTGAATTGGATTCATCAAAATTAATAACTTTTCCTCTTCAAAAGTTAACATTAATAAAAGAACAGGCCATAGACAAGGAGAAAATATGTGCAAAATATATGAAATGCTTGTAGCTTAATAAGAAGACAAATAACCCTATTTAGAAAAGGTTAAAGGTAAATAGACATTTCACCAAAGAAGATATATATTCCCATAAAAAGATGTACATCAATCATCATTAGAAACACTGAAAATAAAATTACAGTGAAATACCACCACACACACTAGCTTGGCTAAAATCAGAGAGACTGATAACACCCAGTGTTGGCAAAGATAAGGATAAACTGTAACCCTCTTGTATTGCTGATGAGAACATAAAATAGTATAACCATTTTGGAAACAGGTTAGCAGCCTTGTAATAAGTTCAACATACACTTACCATATGGGCTACAAAGTATGAAAATAAATATTTACACAAAGGCTTATATGGAAATATTTATAGTATCTTTATTCATAATAACCAAAGAATAGAAGCAACAAAAATGTACTTCAAACTGCTCAATGGATAAACAAATGGTAGCACATCCATACATTGAAATAATACTCAGAAATAAAAAGGAGAGAACTCCTGACTTATGCAACAGTATGGGTGAATCTCAAAAGCTAAATAAAAGAAGTCAGACACAAAAAACTATATATTATGTAATTTCATTTTTTCAAAACTTATGGAAAGGTAAAAACTATAGAGACATAAAGCAAATGAGTGGTTAACAGGGCAAAGGGATGAGAGTGAGGATTGGAAAATGGCAGGAAGAAACTTTTGGGGGGGGGGGTGACAGAAATGTCCTAAAACTGGATTTTAGTGATGGTTGCATATCTGCATAAATAGTAAAACTCACCAAACTGTACATTTAAAATGAAAGAATTATAGAGCTGTAAATTCTCCCTGAATAAAGCTGTTAAAGCATTAAGAAAAGATGAAAGCCAAGGAAATTTCTATTTTAGTCTTATGAAAGGAATAAATATTATATAGATAGAGAGCATAAAATAATTTTAGAGAATGAGGAAAT
The DNA here is from genome assembly GCF_000001405.40 of Homo sapiens. NCBI lineage: Eukaryota > Metazoa > Chordata > Mammalia > Primates > Hominidae > Homo > Homo sapiens. The sequence continues at coordinate 90,989,158 of NC_000013.11, forward strand.
TTAAGTGACAATGTGCAAAACATCAAACTACAAAATGAATCAACAGTTGGCTATTTTCTAATTCCATCCTCTAACTGGTTCATTCTTTTTAAACTATAAGAGACCTTGCTGAACTAGTCGAGATAATGCAATATTTTTAATTAATTAATCCTGAATTGAAAACCAATTAAACAGATCCTAATAGTATCTGGAAGGCAATTTTTAGATGGCATGGCAAAGACTGAACAGAAACAGTCACCTAAAAAAATACATGTTAATGATCACCTACTACACCTCTGAGTCATGTATTTCATCACAACATCAATCACAGTATAAAGTATAAATTTAAAGCCCATTTTAACAAACAATGGCTGAAGTCAACTGTGATCATTCAACATGTTGTAGATAGTAGAGTACAAGTGCCGCTTCTGATAAATAAAGATAGTTTGTTCAAAATTCTGTGAATTTGAACAAAATTTCCATAACTGGATTTTGACATCTCCCAGTCATGTTCCCATATCCCTATCAAAAGATCTAATATATAATTCATTTCTCTATAATTAATGTTTTAATTTTCTTTCTTCTTTATTAGTTAACTTTTTGAGGACAGGTCTTATTTATATTACTTGTATATATTATCGTAAAAATATTTATCAAATCATTAGATGAATAAATACATAAATAAATAGGAAAAAGAAAAAAATGCTAGTGCAAATTTTTGGCAGTCCCGTATTGTTTGCCTGCTCACAGTACATACCTACTGATGAAAACTTGAACAAACTAAGCGATTGCTACATCTGCTTATCAACCGACCCAGACTTTCACAGGATTCTGTTGAATGAAAACACAGCGTATGTGAATCAGAAACTCATGGAAACCAGCCTGTTAGGAGACAAGTCTCCAGAAGTGTCTCAGGTTTCTACAGGTCTTGCAGAAAGACACTGCTACTGGTAAGCAATAGACTATCTTCTCAAGTATGTTTGGATAGTGAATAACCTGGGAAAGTGAGTAGTCTCTCTCTCTCTCTCTCTCTCTCTCTCTCTCTCTCTCTCTCTCTCTCTCTCTCAAGTTGGGCTTGCTTACTGTCCATAAGAAAAGATTCAGGTTCCAGCTTCAGAGTCCCCATCTTGTAACATATCCCAGTGCGGCTGCAGGTAATACCTGGGTTTCGTTGTGTCACTCTGTGTGGTCAGGGGCTTGAAGAATTAGGGCAATGCTGGTATTCAGACTGCCAGATTGCTGCGAGTAATAAAGTCTTTTGTCTCTGACACAGTAGTCTCCTATATTCTGTCAGCATCCATAAACCTTTAGCAGTTTAATTTATTAGGTTGCAAGTAGGGAAAAATCACAGACCCTTCACAGTTCTTGACACAATTTCACTTTGAACTGTCCTTACTCGTTTGTCAACTGTGTTTCACAAGCAGAAAAGCCTTAATTTATTTTGAAAATAGAACTATGCAATACTATTTAATTTGGTCAATTTAGCCAAAACAAGACCTAGTAAATTCATGCTCAATAATTTTTATTTGACATACTACTTTGATATTACTTTGCAAGATAAAACTTTTACCTAGAAAATGTTAGTTAATAAAGATGCATATAGTTAATACAAAACATTAAAGATTAAAATTTACAAGGAATATAGTAAAATTATCCACTGACTTCAAATTGTTCAATCGTTTTTTAGACCACTAGATTAATTTCTTAATTGTGTAATTTAAACATCAAACCCATATATTTTTCTAAAGATTAAGGATATACATTCTACCCTCAAATCTAAGGAAAACCTGATGTTTATTAAATTAAAATTTATCCTCATCATAGTACAAATTTAAAAGCATGCTGAAAATAATATAATAAAACTACTACAATGTGCCTTTTTCCAGTTTAAATAAATATTATTTTGATACACTTAAAGTCTTACAGGGTAGTCTTAAGAAGAGGTGTCAATGCAAGTACAGCCTTCTCATTTAAAGATTGCTGGTTGAGAAACTTCGCTGTGACAAGTACTTAGCAAAGCAGTCATTATTAAATCTGGTTTCTGGGTTCAATCAATAGCCATTGATAAAATGCCTTCAAAAGAACATGTATCATTTTGTGCAATTTTGAAAGTGCTACTTTTGATAATGTAACAGTGTCCTTAACCTTTTTGGAGGAAAAACTAAGTGCATTATTGTCCTTATAATGACAGCAATGGCAATTATTAAACTGTATTTCTAGAAGAGCAAACTTATTTTTTTTTCATTGACATCTCAGTATCAACACAATTACTTTGCTTTGGAGGAAATGAAAGATGACTTTAGAATATCAGAGCCTGTATATAGTTCATCTCTGATAAGGGCTTTTTCTTTTAGGACTTAATACTAAGGACACTGGTTTGGAGCATTTTTAAGAACTCTCTTGGAAAATTACACACACACACAGAGAGAGAGAGAGAGAGAGAGAGAGAGAGAAAGGAGGTCTTCTAAAGAGCTCGATGTATACTGGTTAACTATACTAATAATTAAAGACACAAATTGTATGGGCAAAAACAGCCACAGCTGAAATATATTAAGCTTCATATTAAAAACTATATGTGGAACCAATACCTTTCTAAATTCTTCAGTAAACACATAGATGCTATGGAATGAAACAAAAGAGTAAAGATAGTTCTGAAATTGTATATAATAATATCACATTCTCTTTTTTTGGTATATGTATGTTTTATATAAAGCTTTATAGTCCATATTATGTATGTTATTTTTTTTTATACTTCTCTATAAATCTATATGATAATGCAGTAATGCAAAAACAAAATATAACGTTTGCTAATTAGTTTAAAATTTTGTATGAGTCTAGTCCTGAAAATTGTGTTTTGATAACAAAACATATCCAAAAAAATTCAACTTAGCCACTCCATCAGTCATTTCGTATATAAATAAATAAACTCTGCGTGCATATACATAATTGTAAAGTTTAATAGAAAAATCAATTGGGAGAAGGAGGCTAGAGGAATGTGAGTCTTGAGTTTTATGACAGAAAAATTCAAGATCAATTATGCTGAAGACCCACACATAATGTTTTTGTTTTACCTTCTCATGTTATTTTTGATGCTGATTGCATTTGGCCTAAATGCACAGATTCTTAATTAGGGTCTTACTATTTTAGGTAGTTTCCTAGATTTTTTTTCTTTATCCCATTTTCCCAGATTTGTGAAAAAGAAAAATGCAGCTGAGTTTAATACTCAGGTGATGTAAAAGCAATTGGCATATCAACTATAAAAAACAAAGTTTTCCTCAGCATTTAATTTGCTAGATAATTAGCTAGATTGAATTTATTCAAATAATATAAATTCCTGTTTTTGACTTCCAACTTTTCAGCCAGTTCTAGCTAGGTGAGAAAGAGTGAAGAGGTTCACTAAATATAAGCATGGCATTATTTTTTAGAAAGGTAATCTAGTGCAATGATTATATATTTGGTATGAGGCTTTGGCATCAAACAGATATAAGTGAATCTAAATCCCGGCTCTGCCACTCATCATCTGTGTCAATAGGAAGTTACTCAACTTCTCTAAGATTCAAGGGAAAAAATAAACTATTTAAAATCAATACTGCCTGTAGGCCCTTCTGCCATTAGGAAGTCGTCAGACTGGGAGTGGGAGGCATCATTCATATTAAGGGGGAAATAAATTTCTAAACTGCTTCATTTAACTTACCTTGGCTGAGAGAGAATGGGATAAGAGAAAGCTGACCTTTCATAATCTTTTTCAGTTCTTCTCTGATGCGTCTAACATGGCACTCAGAGTAGATGACTGTGTCTTCAACAAGAACGTAAACACATTTTTTGGATATGCAAATGATAGTCCAGATCCTAACTAGGAGTAGAAATGTGAATTGTGCTGCCTGATCTCAGGACTTTAGATTTCACAAGAAAGCCCCAATGAAGCAGTTTATATAAAAGTTTATGAACTTTTATATAAACTCCCAAAGTGAGAGAAACCTGAGATTTAAAGTGAGTTAAGGGATGAAGCAGCAAGTTGGGAAGAGTAAATTTTAAAGTGTCTAGAAAATAAGATGCTCCAAGAGGAATTTGGGATAATCAGACACCATGTAGAGACAGAGATGTCTCATAGCTAATTTTTAAATTGATGTCCTAATTTTCTGCTATACAAACATCCTCTAAAACCAAGGTAAATCCATTTTGTATAAGTACTCTGTAAACTTGCACCTGTTGCTCTTGCCTCCAACTGTCCTTGGAGGACAGTTCTGAGTGAGCCTAGACAGATTGACCAGTGCCCCTCTGCAAGATTGCACCCCCTTCCTGGGCATTCTGCCCCAGGGCCTTCTCAAATGCCACAACAGCCTGTTCATCCCAATATAATCCAGATCAGAATTCAGGAGAGTGTGCACAGCCACTTCAACCTTCAGCCAATGCGGGCAGAAGATGGCAAATATATGCTCAGACTCCTGTCTTGAAAAAGGACCACTCTGGCAGACATTCTGCATGCTGCCTGGGAAGCTCTCGTAGGGTGGAGCCCTGGCTGCTCACAACAGAGGCATCAATAGCACATCCCATGGGGGCCTGTCATCCTTTCTGACTCCCACTCCTCTCACCACCTCAAAACCCCTCTACCAAGGCTTTGTCTGTCCATGACTTTGCTTTCAACAAACCAAGATGCTTTATGGAAACTGATTTATGGGACAAACAAGGGGAAGGAAGCTATCTCTACCTGAGCCAGCACAGAGCTGAGAGGGCCAGCAGGCTGTGGAAGAGAGGAAGCTGAGCAGAAACACAGACTCCATGCTGGGTTCGTGAGGAGCATGATAATTCCTGTGTGAAGTAGGGCAAGAAGCTTCTGTCAATCTTTTTTTTTTTTTTGAGTCAATTTTATTTATATCTCAAATGACAGTGCAATCTTAGTTAACAAATACTTAAATAGTAGGTGCATAATACATAGAGAAAGTAACTTAATAAAGCTGATAAGAATTTTATATTCTGAACCAGTTTATTACAGTCAAGATCTTCAGTTTCAGTTTAGCTTTGATGAATATCAGGTCCATGGATATTGGGCATAACTTTTAGTGAAGTATCCAACGATTGACAAGTGGCACATTTTGAATCTCAGAGACATTGTATGAGTTGGTAACAAACTATTTCTGAAAACTTATTTCCTAAAACTCACATTCACATACTATATACTTCAGTCAAATTATTACCTATATACACCTTGCATTTTACCATTCTCTATATTGAAATAGCCTTCATTCTCATCTGTCCTTTCCCCAATGCCTATACGTATTTCAAGCCCTGTCTGGAGCAGTACATGGCCCGTGAAATCTTCCTGAGCCATACCAGATTGTATCTAAAAGTTTCATGATAGTCACTCTCTGTTATCTCTTGATATATTTGTTAATATTTTTCACTTTCCATGTCACAGGATGCTATTTATGCTTCATTTATCTTTTATTTACATATTTTGGGGTTTTGGTAAAGAGTCCAAAATTAGACTTGATCAACTTCTTAGTCCCATTCAAAATGCTGGACATAGTTTTAAAACAAAGGATGTTGCCATCAGCTTTCTCATTAACCTCCAAAATTCTATGTGTCCCATTCCACAATCCATTCTTTCAAACATTAGCAATGACAACACATCTTATTCTGAAACTGAATTCTGACACTTGTTCCTAAAACAAATACCTACCTGTCATCAACATTCCACTTTCACCCAGGTTTTTCTATCTCTTCGTATTTGCAGGGTTGTGATGTGTACCAGTTTGGCCAGAGCATCTCCAGTTTAAGCCTGTTGTACTGATTACTTACAGCATCTGCTGCTACTCTCAAAAGTTTCCAGGTTTGGAGGATACATTATATAGCCACCTTATCTATACAGCTTGCAATGAATTTCTGCTTTCCCTTCTCATCTGTGCTTAACCTATTCTCACACTGCACTGCGTATTTTACATCCACTATTTCAGAATATACAATAATTTTTGCAAGTGAAGGAAATTGTCACATAAAATGATGTAACATAGTCAGTTTGCTCTGGGCGTAGAGAAAGACTTTTCCGTGACCAACATTATAAATATCTGAGCAGTATTAACTTTGAAAAGCAGACACAAACTAGAATGGGTAGGGAGAGAGATTGCATTTGGCACAGCTTCAAAAACATCATTTCAGAAAGAAAAATCCAATTCAATTTTCAGAATGACTGGTTAAACCAATTCATGACAGGTCTATATAATCAATATCTACTGCTACTTACCTTGGCAGCATTCCTGGAGAGATCATTTTCCTAAATTGTCCTCTTCTCAGCCACTTTCCGTTGTGTTTTATGCAAATTATTTTGGCTTGTCTACTGTATTTCTTTCTTTTTTTTGTTTCCACTGCAATAAAGAACTTAAGCAACGTATTACATTGCATATGAAATAATAGGTATTTTTAATCCCTATATGCATTTTATTTATTTGTGTAGTCAATTTTAATATTACTCTAAACTATCAGAGATGGGTCAAAATATTTTCCCATCTTCAAACTGTCTTGTAGATAATTCTAACCCAATGCGAAAAACTGAGTGTTTCTATCTCTGTTATCAACCCCACTTTTACAAGTTGTCATGCACCCTCCTGCCTTACGACGTTTCCCTTGAAGAAATCAGTGTTTTCCCAGCCAGCAAAGTCTTTGGCAGCAGATATAGCCACTGCATAGAAAACTGGTAATCCTCTCCAAAATACACATCTGACGAGGGCTCTCTGTCAAAGGATAAGCACCCAGTTAATTTGGGACTTAAGAGAAGTGGATCAGGAACCACTTTCCCTTCTCCACTTAAATATCCCCTCATACCTCTCAATAGCTTCCCATTGCTATGAGAGCAAAATCTAAACCTAGAACTATGACTGACAAGTCCCTGCCTGGCCTGGCTGCAGCCCACCTCTCCAGCCCCGTCTCACCTATTCTCCCCATCATCTGCCATGTTCCAGCTACACGGGCCTCAAGTAAAGCATAACACTGGATAAGTTCTCCAATTTATGAGACTCTGATCTGACCATTCCATCATGTATGTTAGCTCAGTTGTGTATTAGAATCCCATGGGGAGTTAAAAAAAATACTAATGCCCAAGAATTATTCTAATATGGGGGAGAGGGGGAAAAGAGATGCCGAAGTTTGTTTTTCTCTTACTTTAATCCTGGGCTGTGAAAATGAAAATATAACCAAAAAGCTTCAAATGATACCCAGTTGTAATGGGTTGAATAGTGGTCCCCAAAAAGATATTCCTAATCGCTGCAAACTATTGACTTAGTCATCTAGTGATGACATAACAAAATGCCATTCACTGGATGGCTTAAACAAAAGAAATTTATTTTTTCACAGTTTGGGAGGCTGGAAATTCCAAAAGCAGATGCCAGCAGATTCAGTTCCTGGAAAGGACACTCTTCCTGGCTTGCAGACAGCTGCCTTCTAGATGTGTCCTCACATGGCAGACAGAGACAGAGAAAGGGAGAGCAAGCTCTGGTATCTCTTTTTATAGGGGCACTAATCCTATAATGAAGGGCCCACCTCATAATCTCATCTAAACCTAAGTACTTCCCAAAGACCCCAGATCCAAACACCATCGCACTGGGGCTTAGGGCATCAACGTATGAATTTGAAGGAGGAGAAAAATTCAGCCTACAGCCTCGGTGAATATCACCTAATTTGCCAAAAGGGTCTTTGCAGATGTTAAATTAAGGATCTTGAGAAAAGATTTTCCTGGATAATCTGAGTGGGCCCTAAATCCAATGACAAGTGTCCTTATAAAAGAAAGGCAGAGGGAGATTAAACACACAGAAGAGAAGGCTTGTAAACACAGAAGGAGAGGTTGGAATTATGCAGCCCCAGTAGCCCACAGAAGCTGGAGGAAGCATGGAATAATTCTCCCTCAGACCTATCAGAGGGAATGCAGCCCTGCCAACACCTTGATTTTAGACTTCTGCTGTCCAAAACTGAGAGACAATAAATTTCTGTTGTCTTAAGCCAAAAAAAAAAAAAAAATACTAATGCCCATGTTCTATCCCGAACCAATTAAATTGGTGTCTTCTGGAAGTGAAGCCCTGGCACTGCTATTATTTCAAGCTCCTGAGATAGTAACTCTGCCATGTAATCAAGTTTGAGAAGAGCTAAACTAAATAGCTATTCCTTCCAGAGATATTTTCATTTTAATTAGGGTTTCTTCCTTCTAAACAAAAACAATCTTGACCTTCTACATAAATATTGTCCAATATCAGATGTTTTATACCAGAGAATATATTGAAAATTAGGTATAGTGACAATATATATTAGAGACTTACGTTTCATTTAAAATCTGTTGTCACTTCTATTATGATGGGAAAAGATTTTTTTTTACTTGAAAGATAGACTGAAGTCACTATGGAACAATGCAACAATTTTACCTCTTTATTTTGCACTATAAATAATAATTCAAAGTTATCTTGTATAGTAACATCAAAAAGCTGGGTGTTTTCTTTCTTTTGTGTTATAATTTCCTGTAATTGGTTCCTATTTTCATACTGATCAATAGTGAATAAATCTAGCCATACCGTGTGAAATAAAGAAGCAAAATAATCATAATATAACAGATAAATACAGACAGTTCATCTAACCCCAATCCTTTCTTTTTAACCTGCCATCAGAAGGAAGTGCAGAAGGTCACCTCTTCATCTCTATTTCTTAAGAAAAGAATTAGTCATACATATTGTTAAATTGGCTTCATCCTCAAAAAATAAATGAGAGATGAACTGCATTGAGCAAAGGTACATCACTACACTCAGAAAGCCATTTGCTTGCAAGAGGAAATTAATGTAAAGCAGTCTTAAAACATTGCATGACATTAAATATCTATAATCACTTTATTCTGCTTAAGTTGTATGATGTGTTCAGCCAGCATTCTCCTTCTATAATATCTCCCTAGGAAAACTCATCTTCTTTCACAACTGCAGGGATCCCTTAGAAACTAATAGCTCTCAAATCCCCATCTCTATCGCTGACATCCCTCCTAAGCTCCAGAGGCCATATGGTGCAGTAGCTAAGTATGAATATAGAGGCTTTGGAAGCAGAGTGTCTACAGGCAACTCCCAGCCAACACTCTTAAGCCAAATTATTTATCTTAAATAAGTTTCACTTTCATCATTGTTAAGTTGAGAAAAATGCATACATCCCAATGCCTGGCAAGGAGGAAGTACTTGATAAATGTAATATTGACTATAATTATTATCATTAGGCCTAACCACACAGATGTCCCAGGGAGTCATTTCATATTCTCCCTTCTCCCTAATTTCCCATTTACTTTTTTTGGCTTTATTGAAGTAGAATTGGCAAATAAAATTGTATATATTTAAAGTGTACAACATGATGATTTGATATATGTATGCATCCAAAATGATTAGCACGATCATTTTAATTAATTTATCCATCACTTCAAATAGATAGATAGATGATAGCTAGAAAGATAATAGAAATTGATGTTTACTAATCAACTTTTAGTTTATTTTACAAAAGCATTTCAATTAATTGCATTAATGTTAATATCTGATTGTCTTAGCAATTTTCAGGCAGACAATTCAATGTTATTAATTATAGTCACCAAGTTGTACACCAGAACCTCCAAGTGTATTTAACTAAAAGTTTGTACTCTTTAACCAACATTTCCCCACTCCCTAGCCATTGGCAAGCACCATTCTACTCTGTTTTTCTATGAGTTCTACTTTTTAAAAATTCCACAAATGTGGTAGATAGATGATAGATAGATAGATACATAGATAGATATGCAGACATAGACACAGATATAGATATAGATACAGATATAGATACAGATATAGATATAGATATAGATAGATATAGATACCAAGCATGATCCAACCTCACTGTCTTCGCTTGTGCTCTACTGTTTACCTGACCCACTCTTTCCTTCAGATAACTGCATCGCCCATTCATTATTTCCTTTTGTTCTTTGTTCAAATGTTATCTCTAGTGTAGGTGTATAGATTTATACACACACACACACACACAATGGAATATATCCAGCCATAAAAAAGAAGGAAGTGTTAACATTTATAACAACTTGGATGAACTTAGAGGGCATTTGCAAAAGTGAAATAAGCCAGACAGAGAAAGCCAAATACTGTGTGGCACCACTTAATTTTAGTTGTCTTATCCTGTTGTTCTACCTCTGCAGAGACTCATTAATTTTCGTCCATCCTTGTTCACATGACCTGAATTCAGGTTATCATCTATTTGATATTGCGACCTCCTTATAACTGGTCTCTTAGGCTCCAAACTCTTGACCTTACATTGCTGCCTAATTTCTTCCAGCAACACAGATCTGAACTGAAAGTGTCCCTGCAACACACTCAAGTGCCTTACTTAATATAACATTCAAAGACTTTTAAAATCAGTCTCCAGCCAACCTGCCCACACTCATCTTCCCTACACTCCTCTTAGGAGGCTCTCAATCTCACTCTAATTATGACAAATGATACTAGTGAGTCAACCACTCTTGTGGAAATTCTCAAAAATAAATGTAATTATCTGACCACTGCCTGTAATTCTACCCTCCAAGCAAACAAGGAAGAATGCAAGTAAGAGTAAAATTATTAAATATGTGTATGTATGTATGTTATATACATATATACATATAATCTTAATGTGTTTCTAATTCATAACTCTTAAAACAAATTATGTGTAAACTCTGGTACTTTATAATTTGTTTCAAAACGATTACTAGACTTGTACCTCTTAACCAATAAGCTTTTGGATGACTATGTTATAGATGGGTAATGATGGCCAACAAATTAAATTGAAATTAAGCCAAAAATGCCACTGTGATTCATTCCAGTGTACCTTTACTCTTTCAGCACTCTCACCAAAACACCTTATACAGGACTCCACTACCTCCCATTTCTTGAATACCAAAGCACATGGTGTTCCCTTTGTTTCCTAGGCTTATTGCCTCGTCTACTTGGTAGATCTACTCATCCTGCCACTCTCGATTTAAATAATACTTTCCTGTCTCTCTACCTTTTATTTTAGGTTCAGGGGATACATATGCAGATTTATTACATGAGTAAATTGTGTGTCACTGAAAAAAATTAAAGGGAATGGAATATTGAAAATAAATAAATAAACAAATAAATATTATGCATTCTTTGAATGCTCCTTGACCCCCTGGAAGATTAGGTGCATGCTCCTTCATATATCTGAACTCAAGATGGCCTGAAAACTGTGCTGAAATTCTGAGATTCAGTTCCAGGCTCAGGTTGGATGGATCCCTAAGCTGCAAATTGCAGCATCAAGGTTAATCCAAGAAAAACAGCATAGGAAAGGAAATGATATTTCACAAAACCGAAGTGACTGCAGAGAGAAAGTCTAGGTATAAGGCAACTGAATAGAAATCACAACTTCAAGTCAGACAAATAGTGATTAGAATATACACAGGAAGACTGAACCTGCAAAAATTATTTAAGGTGCCAGATTATAACCAACACCTCTTTTTATAGGTCATAGGAACCCTCAGCCTAGAATGGAAGAGAAGCTCTCAGAGGCCACCCTGGAACACCACTGCAATCTATACATTCCCATTTTATGAAAACTTACAATATTTTTTCTGAGAAAAACTGGTAATAGAGAAAAAATTCTCTAAGTGAAAGAATTAAATGTATGTGGAGGAACAGTGAAAAGGAAAATAAAAGTTAACGTTAATATACTGGCATGGAAAATGGGAAGACAGAAATATATGGGCTATCTTTAATTGCTAACATAATTTAGGCATGTTAATGTATGTAAATTTCAACACAGTGTCAGGAACCACCTAGTATTTCTAACTTGAAGCTGGAAAACTGTTTTTAAATGTTTCCAGGTAGAAAATGGTTTCTCCTATTATAGAGCCTATCCAATTTTTCCATGGTGATTCAAAACAGAGTTAATGTAAAAATTTCAAAACCAGGCCATAATGAGGCAAATTTTAATTGAAACACCAGAAAGGCAACTCTGCTTCCCAGTGGCAAACATTTCCTTACATTAAAAAATCCAATTTCTATCAATTTCAAATGCAGTGATCTCTGTTAATATTATTCTTTATATTATTTTAAGTAAATATAAAAGGTTTACATAAAAATTTCATGTTGTCAAATAAATATCAACCTCATCAGAAGAAATAAAGAAACAAACCCTACATATGATATGCATATATTGATTAGAAAGATAGATGATAGCTAGACAGATGATAGAGATTGATGTTTACTAACCAACTTTTAGTTTATTTTACAAAAACATTTCAATTAATTGCATTAATGTTAATATCTCAGTTGATTCCTTTAGTAAAAAGTAATTTATGCTTCTACTGAACACAAAGGTGGCAGCAAGAGGAGCCTGGAATCTGTCTTGTGCTTTCCCAGCCAAATCACGTGCCCTAGCTCATGGCTCCATTCTGGAAGAAACAGCATCGTTTTCTATTTCACACCAAGGCTTACGGCAGATTCTATAGTTCTCTGAAGACACAAGTGTCTGTGTTCCTTTGAATACAAAACCAAATACATCACGTAACACCTGATGTGTGATACCCCCTAGCACTGAGAGGAAATATTCAGTCACTCACCCACGCATGCGTGCATGTATGCATGCATAGAACACATGTTAATTAAGTCCCTATTCTGTGCCAGGGCTCATCCAGGTATTAGCAACGCAGCCCAGAGAAATCAGGAAATCTCTGTTCTCACAGAGCTTACATTCTAGTGAGGAGAGACAGAGTGTAAACAGGTTAAATCAGTAAAACACAAAGTAGCAGCCAGAGAACATAAACATAAACCAGCAAAAGAAATGATAAGGAGGAATATAAAGAGACCCATAAATAATAAGGGAAACAATTAAACTAGTTTTGCTAGGGCACGTGACTTGGCTGGGGAATAAAGTAAGAAAAGGGGATAAAATATAGAGAGGTTGGGGATGGGATTATAATATTAGAAAGGGTGGCCACAGAAGACCTACACCAAAGATAACATTTGAACAAAGACCAAAAGGAGACAATGAATGGGGCATGCAGTCATCTGGAGAAAAGAGCAGGCCAGGTAGAAAATAGAGCACATGCAAAGACCATGAGGTGTGATTATGCTTGGTGAGCTGGACAGTTAGTACTACCAGATGTATGTAATGCTTACAAATATACAAGGCACTGCTCTGAACATTTTACACAGAAAAATCCATTCAGTCCTCACAACTTATTATATAGAGGTTAGCATTATCCCCATTTGATATGATTTGAATGTGTGTCCCCTCCAAATCTCATGGCGAAATATGATTCCCAATGTTGGAGGTGGGTTCTGGTGGGAGGTGATTGGGTCATGGGGTGAATCCTTACGCATGGTTTAGAATCATCCCCTTGATGATAAGTGAATTCCCGCTCAGTTAGTTCAAGAGAGATATGACTGTTGAAAAGAATCTGGAATCTTCCCTTTCTCTTTCTGTTGTTCCTGTTCTCACCATGTGACCTCCTTGTTCTACCTTCAACTTCTGTCATAATTGTAAGCTCCCTGATGCCCTCACCAGAAACAGATGCGGGAGCCATGCTTGTACAGCCTGCATAACCATAAATCATTTTTCTTTATAAATTATCCAGTTTCAGGTATTTCTTTAAAACAATGCAAAAATGGTCCAACAAACCATTTCATTGATGAGTAAAGTGAGACATGGTAGGTAGGTAACTTGCTCAAGTTCATGCAAGGAGTCAGTGGATGATTCGAGACCAGGCAGTTTGGCCCCAGGTTTGTGCTCATAACCACTCTACTGTAGTGTGTCTTACTGATTTCATAATTTTTATTCCCAGTAAATGCAGATCATGGCTATATCTACATTAAAAAATAGAAAGGAAAAATGTTGATAATCTTGTAAAATGTATTATTCCAAAGGGCCAACCCAGAAATTCCATAGCAAAGTTAGTATCCATCTACCTATTCCTGTGTAATAAGCATTTCTGCTTGCATAACATAAGTTTTTCTCATTGGGTGAAGCATTTAAGTGCCATAAAATTCAAAAAGGAGTAACCTTAACAAATTGCTCAATTTCAATTATTATGACTCTAGGACATAGCTAAATTAATTGCCTACTTTGAAAACATTAGACAGGTAAATAGCAGAATAGTTAATAACAGATTTTTACTAGATTTTCTGAGTACAGATCACAGCTCCATCATTTATGATGTTAACAAGTCACTTAACCTCTCCGAGTCTCAGTCTTCCTCTGAGAAATGTGAAGAGTAATAGTCCCTACCACATTAGGGTTGTTGTGAGGGTTGAGTTAGCAGTACCTATAGTAAAGAAGGTATAAGATGAATGCTAGCTTTATTATTACTTCAGTGTCAGTGTAGTATTCTATGCAAGCAAGGAGCTCCTGTGGTAAGCTGTATGGATTGGAATCCTAGATAAACCCTTTCCCAGCTGTGTGACTTGGGCAAGTTACTCTCTGTAAAGTGGGAACAATAACACTACCAACTTCATAGTATTGTTGGAAGGATTAAATGAGTTAATACAGGTAAAATGGTTAGACAGCACCTGGTACATAATAAATGCTATCATTTTGCTGATATTAACATTATCATTATATGTTATTTAGATGTATTAAAGGAAGTTATTTGTTTTCTTTTCATTTTCATTCAAGAAGGCAAGACCACAATATGATTGTTTCTTAAATATCATTCTTTTCATCATGCTCAAGCATAAAAATGTTACAGTATGCTTTTCTCTGTCTCATTAGAATCCAACAAATTGAAAACATAATCCAAGAATTTAAGTATTCTACTAAATTATTTAGCCACTTCCCTGAAAAGCATGTTCATGGATACTTCCTTCCCTCGACTCATTACTGACCCAAAAATTCAGCTAGATTTAATTTCATTTTCCCCATCTGCAATTACTATCATCTTACCAATAGGATGTTTTCAGTATTCACTCATGTTTGACAGTAAAACCCTAATAACATGTCAAGATCTACAGCACGTGTATTTCTTCATTATAGGATAGTTCAGAGCCTCCGCTTAACTACATACAAGGGAAAAGAAATTGAACCACAGCTGTAGTTAGCCATGCTGATGACAATTACTATTTGTAGTGAACATGTTGTGCTTACCAAGATTTCATTACTGCACCTCAACATCTAAACTGTCCTGGGATTGCATTAGAAGTCCTCAGACATATTAGTCTACATGTTTTTTTACACAGAATATTACCTTTACCCCAACACAAATGGCAGAAAAATCTGCGAAAAACCTAAATTGCTGTGTGATCAGCATGGTTGGCACACTCAGCAGAGTTGGCAAGACAGAACAAATGTTGCAACAAATATGCACTCCTGATGTTGCTCTATAAAGGAAAACATGTTGGCCCTCTTCCATGCTTACCATGAGCCTAGAGCCCAAAGGTCCACACAGAAAATACCCAATATGTGCAAAGCTCCTTGAAATGTCACTGAAAGAGTATTAAGAAATTCTGAATATTGAAATTCCACCTCAGACCTCATAATAGTTTTAGTTACTATGATGATCTCATTTTGAGGATTTTTACCCAAAAAGTAATACTATTATGTGAATTCAAAGCTGATGTCCTTACTTTGCCTCATTTTGAAAGCTCCAATAAAGATTTCCTATCCCTACAGGAACTTTTTAAATCTGAAATTCAACTATTCTAAGTAAAAGAGTGAAGCAGAAATTACCAACTGACATTATCATTTAAAAGTATCATTGACAACACATAATAAAAAGGCTCAACATATAAAAAATCTTTCTGGTGTTTATGAGAGAAGATTCTTTCTTACAACCAGGAGAGCACAATTTTTACAAAGTTATCATAACTTGTTTCTGATCAAGATTTTTCAATTATTTCCTAATACCTATTCCCCTGAGGGTCTGCAGGATCTACTGCAGAGCAGTGATATTTAGCCTTTTTTGATCTTTCAAAGCTTAAAAAATCTTAAAACCATAGACCCAAATTATGAATAATATACATATAGGAAAAGTCTGCATATGATAGCATAGGTTGATTCCAGATCTCAGAAAAAAATAATTCTGTATTCAATGAGCCATGGATTTACTTCATTCTTTTTAATAGTTTAAGAATATTAATCAGAAGACATTTTCTGTAGGTTCCATTTTGTCAGATTATAGCTACAAAACAGATGTTTCTGAATACAATTTATAAGAGTGATTGAATTACCTTACCATCTCTCAGGTCCTAGAAAGTAAAAGCATTTTCTGATGTGTTTAGCATTAGAGAGTCACTGTGACAATTTTATCTTGTTAAAGGATTCAAGGTTTCCAAAACCATTCTAGAAAGACAGTTTACTACCTTTGCTTTTATCCCTAGTAACTGTGACCAGGAAATTAGCAGTCCTGTCTTTAGAAAAAAAAAAGTAGGGGGTGAGGGGCTAAAAAACAGCATTTCTGAAGGCACGAGAAAAGTACTGAAGGCCGGGCGCGGTGGCTCACGCCTGTAATCCCAGCACTTTGGGAGGCCGAGGCGGGTGGATCATGAGGTCAGGAGATCGAGACCATCCTGGCTAACAAGGTGAAACCCCGTCTCTACTAAAAATACAAAAAATTAGCCGGGCGCGGTGGCGGGCGCCTGTAGTCCCAGCTACTCGGGAGGCTGAGGCAGGAGAATGGCGTGAACCCGGGAAGCGGAGCTTGCAGTGAGCCGAGATTGCGCCACTGCAGTCCGCAGTCCGGCCTGGGCGACAGAGCGAGACTCCGTCTCAAAAAAAAAAAAAAAAAAAAAAAAAAAGTACTGAAATAAGGAAGACATGCCATATTCTAGACTTTCTCCAGTATATTTAAGACATTCATTTATTTAGAATTTTTTTAATTTTATAATTAACTTTAATTGCAAGCATGAAATATCACATAATGTATAGTAGAGAAGGAAAAAAATTCTCAATTTCTACAATGGCTTAGAAAATTTTGGAAGAACAACTATTCCCAGGGTTCTAGGCAGAAACTAGAATATGAGTCTTTTCTGCTCAAGTATCATCCAAGTTATTAGGGGAACAAATATTCTCTACTGCACTAGAGATTCAGTTTCAGGAGAGTCTAGGGACACAGCCCTCTCAAAAACACCTGTTTTTCAATCTTATTCCCCCTTCTCCAGCTCTTTCCGTTTGAGCCAAATGGTTAGACCTTTACCTCATTTCAGTCTGAAAAACTGCCTTCACATCCATTCCTACATACATCTTACAAGTTGGATTCCTCTAGGTGCTGGTTCTTGATGTTTATAGAACACACCTGCAAATCAGAGAGCCTTTTTATCTCGAGCCTAATCCTTATAAGTGAAAGTCTAACTTTTAAGACTATTTTTCTTCAGTACTCTTTAAGCATGGTGGTTTTGAAAGTCTACTTTAGTGAAGCCTTTATCATTCCTTATTGTATTTCCACTGGAGACCCCTTCTATGCAATGAATGAAGCACTGTAAGTAATGAGTATTGCTTTAAGTTAAAAATCCACCTGTGTTATAGAAAGATTTGCTCGTTGTCTCCCCCCACACAACGTTCATATGTTAATTCCCTAAACCTTAAGTCACTGTGTTTGGAAATAAGATCTTTAGAACGTGGATAAGGTTAAATGACATCATAAGAGTGTGGCCCTGATACAAAAGGATTGGTCTCCTTATAAGAAGAGGAGGACACGAGATACCCTTTCTCTATGCACTCACATAGGAAAGGCCATGTGAAAACAAAGCAAGAAGGCAGACCAGGAAAAGAGCCCTCACCAAAAACTGAATTTGACAGCACCATGATCTTGAACTTGTAGCCTCCATAACCGCTAGAAAAAAAAAAATTCTCTTGTTAAAGCCACCTAGTCTGTGATGTTTTGTTTATGGCAGCCTGAGCTGACTAATACAATCTGATAAAATTTCAAAAACATTAACACATTCTAGTCGACATCTAAATTTCTTTTAGTCTAGAACTGATTTTTTTTAGTTGGGCATTGTGGCTTGCACCTATAATCTCAGCTATTTAGTTTGAGGCTGCAGTGAGCTATGATCACACCACTGCACTCCAGCCTGGGCAACAGAGCAAGATCCCATTTCTTAAAAAAAAAAAAAAAAACCAGAACAATAAATATGTTTAAAGCCCAAAGTACAGGACTATTTCTATCTATTGGCATGATGAGCGGAGAAGACTTCTTTATAGAAAAGGATCTTGCTGGTTGGGCAGAATTTTGAGTTCTTATAACTTTTGGCCTCAGATATTTCATCAAGTGCAGATGTCCATCTGCATACTTTTTGATCAAATATGGTATAGTGGTAAGAACCCATCTCTAAAAGTAAAAAACAAATAATTTTAAAAGACAATTTTTCCTTATGGATAAAACACTACTGTAAAATCAGGGATGCTTCAGGTGGTTCAAGTATTTCAATTCAAACATTTCTGTTCGCTGGCTGCTAAAATAATTCTAGAAACCCACTTTTAGGAATATTGAAATTTTACTTGAAGCCATTATGCCATAAACTACCAATTTCAACTCAAAATGTGGTCTTTCTTTCCCATTTCAATCTATGTGTTACTGTACAAAGAGGAAAATCCCATTTCAAATATGTGTTACTGTACAAAGAGGAAAATCCCATTTCAAAACATGTTACTGTACAAAGAGGAAAATCCCATTTCAAAATATGTGTTACTGTACAAAGAGGAAAATCCCATTTCAAAACATGTTACTGTACAAAGAGGAAAATCCCATTTCAAAATATGTGTTACTGTACAAAGAGGAAAATCCCATTTCAAAATGTGTTACTGCACAAAGAGGAAAATCGACATAGTTCCTGCCATCAAGGTGTTTACAGTTTTATGAAAGGACAGATTTAACCGAATAACTACAGGGTTCCCAGAGGTTCAAGTGTGTTTGGTAATCCACACACATATCACATTTACTGGCACCCAATTAATGCATGAAGACTAATAGGAGAGTCACCTTAGAGTTCCTTGTTTCATAAAGTACACAGAAATATATTTAATTTTCTCAGATGTATATTATGCTACAAAAATGCATTGAGGTTATATTTTTGGAAACAGTGTTTAATATGAGAATGAGTAACAAAAAGGCCAATAGAACTGAAAGGATTAATTTATAAAGAAAGACTGAAAAGAATAAATGTCAATAGTGAGACCAAATAAAAACTGAAGAGGAATATAACAATAGCGATAAACTCAAAAGTGTTTAGAAAAGAAAGAAACTTCAATAATGAGCCAAAAGTAAGAAAACGATTATTCACCTAAAAAATGAGCACCAGCTTTGTTATTAAGCTAGAGACGCAGTCAAAGCAAAAGGCTGCATGAACTCAGAAATAAGGAAAGAAATTCCAAGGGCTATCTATGTGGTCACTAAAGGGAAGGTAGCTATTAGCCATTTATCCGTTCATGTTTATCCTTACTGAGAGCATTTATCTTGGTAGAGACACCAGGAGAGTTTTTTAATAGTTCAAAAATATTTTACAGGAAAAAATATATTCAGGGAAAGTCAGACTGAGAATTGTCCAGGCCAAGGAATATGTATTCCTACTCTGACCTGTTGTCTTTTCTTGGAAAATTCAGGACAGAATGAAGTTTCTTTCTTCTGTGAGAAATCAGTCTCAGGTCCCTACTAATGTGGCACTTTTCTGTCCTAGGTAAAACAGTCTTCTTGATACTAGGTAAGGGGAAAGGTGAAGAGCTGTGTTTTTCCACAGACCTCGAAGAAATATCTCAGCAAGGAGTCTCCAGTCCCCTTACTGTCCAGAACAAATAACGTGAATTTATCTAGACTTGAGAATTGATCAGGTTAATTATAATACTCTCAATATTTATAATTTTTAATTACATAATTTGGAATTGAGTCTGTAGGTCTACTGAGTCAGTTAATAAAAGCAGAACCCCCTTCTAAAATTACTCATAAGAAAAAAAATCTAATTTTTTTATTTTTAATTTTTTTCTGAATACTTTAAATAACGCTGAAATATCAATAACAGCTTAGTGTAATGTTTGCTTCTCCCTGCAATAAGCTTATTTCTAAAGATGCCTCAAAGAGAGAAGAAAATGGAAGTAGCCAGGCAAGCACATTGCTCCAGCCATTGGGTTTACGCATTAAACCCAGGGCTTAATGCGTAAAGCCTTCTATGCCCTAACAGCAAAGGGAAGATAGCCTACTTTTCAGCTATACTTACACAAGAAGTTCTGGAAATATGAATCAATACGTTTCAGCACACAATTTACTATTAATGGCAAAGTTATTTCCTGACATCTCAAAATACCAAGATAAACATTGCAACCATGAATTCTAAGACACGGCTTTTCCATCTCCTACTAAAATCCCTATAATAGCCACACTTGTTCAAGTGGGACATTCCTTGGATTTTAAAATTCTCCTGCCATACTGTCTCTGCCTCTTAAGCAGGAAGACCACCCAAAAGAAGGCTTTGATCTAAAAGTAATGCTGTACTGTAAAAAATTGAAGAATAGGTAAGAGCAGTGGTCAGTATAAAAACCTTTGATCCCTGTGAATAAGTTCCTTTGGAATATAAGAAAAAAATAGAAACTGGGGTTCAAATGTTCAGTGAGAAAGAAATATGCAATAATTTAGATTTATAGGATCCATACAGTCTACAATTTCATGATGTTCTTTTCCCCACTGTGAATTTTGAAATTTAATTCATTTAGTTTAGTAAACTCATCTGAATTGTTAAACTATAAAAACATAATTTTGAGAGAAAACTTTCCCATGCCACTGTACATTATCTATTAATTTTGAATAAAAAACATTTTATTTCAATAAGGGATTATTCAAAATCAACAATATCCCAGAAAATGCTCAGTATAGATATCCAGAATTCAAAGAAAAAAAAGCAAAAGTTGCAATTTATTTTTTCTAAGTGATCCCTAAAAATTCATAGATGGGTCTGGGTTATTTTAACTTATGGTAGAAATGGTTAAAAGTTTGGGCTCTGCAGTGGTTTTTATTGTTTTTTTTTCTTGTTTTTTTTTTTTTTTTTTTTTGAGACAGAGCCTTGCTCTATTGCCCAGGCTAAAATGCAGTGGCCCAATCTTGGCTCACTGCAATCTCAGCCTCCTGGGTTCAAGTGATTCTCTTGCCCCAGCCTCCCCCAGTAGCTGGGACTACAGGCACGTACGACCATGCCTGGCTAATGTTTGTATTTTTAATAGAGATGGGGTTTCCCCAGGCTGATCTTGAACTCCTGACCTCAGGTGATCCACCTGCCTCCACCTCCCAAAGTGCTGGGATTACAGGCATGAGCCACCACGCCTGGTCTCTGCAATGCTTTTTAAACCATGTTCTAAGAAACCATTGGATAGAACTCTACAGAGAATAATGGTTCCACAATGATGGATTTTAACTAGAATTTAAAATCTACGTTAAACTATTTTTAAACTAAACACACCTATACACGTGCACTTACACACACTTTAAGTAAAATAGAAAGAGTCAGATAGTCATGGGTTTAAATTCTGATTCTACTATTTACTAGCTGTTTGATCTTCAGTTACATACTTAATCTTTCTCATTCTCAATTTCCCTATCTAGAAGTAGAGATCATTACAGTGCATATCTCAGAGTTGTCAGCAGATTAAATGAGATGCTACAGGGAGGCAAGATAGCACAGTACCTTCCAGCACGGGTCCTCCAGCAATGGTTCTCTAAGTGTGTTCCATGGACAAGCAGCATCAGCTTCACTCAAAAACCTGTCAGAAATGCAAATTCTTTGGCCCCACCTCAGACCTACTAAGGGCGTGCCCAGCGAATAGTGTTTTAATAAGCCCTCAACTAGAGTTGAGAACCACTATCCTAGATTCAGACTTCTTGGGTTTGAATCCGAGTCTTGCCATTTCATAACTTCATAACCATGGGCAAGTGACTAAACTTCTATAATTCATGTAAAGTTTGTGAAACATAATAATAAATGTTAGTTGTGATGAAAATGCTTAGGACAGTGCTGGATTCATGGTAAGCAGCTGAGTAAATGTTAGCCACTAGTAGGGAGAATTATTATTTTTATCATTTTTTATTAATGTGAATTAATATAAAATCATCATATTATGCCATTGTGAAACAGGGTCAGGTAACATTTAAGCTGTTATGTTCAAGTTCAAAGTAAGAAAAAGGAAATTGAAAGCTGATGCCCGTGCATAGAAATTTCTGTGTAATTTAAAAAGCAAGACCTATAGAAAGGTGTCCAATATGTATGTATTTCAGTTCCAAAGAAGTCACATTTTCTTTTCTTCATATGATCAAACTTGTTGAAGGCAGACATGCTAAAAATAAAAATGATTCACCATGATCATTCATGCAGTTTTAAAAGTCAAAGATTAGAAAGACCCAACATTCTTTCTAATCTGCTGATTTTATTCCTTTTGTAGTCCAAATGTCCACACATGGCCAGACTTGAATGCTAAGTATGACACGTCATTATTTTTTTCATCTCTTGTATCTTGTAAAGGTTCAAAGAAAGGTGAACGTGCCCATAAGCATATGGCCTGGCATTTCGTTCTTTAATGCTGTGATTAAAAAAAAAAAAAAAAGATTGAGGATTAAGATGCAGAGAATGGAGATGTTCATGCTTGGGTGAGATGGTCATGAATTCGACAGCAAGCATCTGCTTCTTCACAGCCCAAGGCCCTGGAACTTCACAGCAATCTGATCATACCATCTGCAAGCATGGGAAAGGCTTTCTAAGTGTCTTATTTTATAGCTGATCATATTTTGCCATTTTTTATCTTTTTCTATAGTAATAGCACACTAAAGTTCATAAAGCCTGGAGTTTTCTCCACAGGAAGACATTTAAGTATTAATTCAGGCTCCTCTTTTCTCTGATTTGCAAAGCTACATCTTTTCTAAGACTTCGCTCATTTTATCTACATTTTCAAATGTGTTGACTTAAAGATGTTCGTAAAATCTTTACATTATCTTTTTAAAACATCTATAACATCTAAAATTAGGCTTCCTTTTTCACTTCTGGCATCAGTTATTTGTGCCTTCTATTTTATCATCTTGATCAATAGTGTCGATAGTAGATAGTATCATCAATCAAATTTTGTTCATTTTGTAATCTTTTCAAAGTACAACCTTTTTGCTTTGTTCAAAATTTTTAGCATGTCTTTATTTCTATAACATTAATTTAATCTTTTACCTAAACTACTGTTATACTGTTATGTTCCTTTTATTTGGAATTGCTTTGGATTTTTAAATAACAATGAAATTGATAATTTGATTAATTTTAGGTTTTTTTTTTTTTTTTTTTTTTGAGACGGAGTCTTGCTCTGTTGCCAGGCTGGAGTGCAGTGGCATGATCTCAGCTTCCCAAGTAGCTGGGACTACAGGTGCTCACCACCATGCCCAGCTAAGTTTTGTATTTTTAGTAGAGATGGGATTTCACCATGTTGGCCAGGATGGTCTTGATCTCTTGACCTTGTGATCTGCCCGCCTCGGCCTCCCAAAGTGCTAGGATTATAGGCATGACCCACCACACCCAGCCCCTACAGTTCTTTTCTAAATAAGCAATGTTTTGACTTTTTTCCAATAGTTTGACATAATAGTATTTGCAGTATAACTTTTCAGAATATTTTTTGTATCTATCATGATTTATCCTTTGAACATAGATTTTGAGCTTTTAATTCCAAAGGATGGAAATGTTATATTGTATTATTGATTGATCATTGAATTCTAGGTTAATCCTCCAGTTGTTAGGATAGCAATCTTTTTAAATGTGTGGAAACTGGCAGTACGGTCAAGTTTTCTATAGGCAACTTTTATAAATATTCTCTGTGTTTCTGAAAAGAAGGTGCATTGTATAGTTATGTGATGTGATGTTCTGTATGCGTCTATTAGATCAGATTTGTTAATTCCATCTTATAAATCTATTTTTTTTTACTGGTTTCGCGTGCCTTCTATCAATTAATGAGACATAATTGTTAAATTCTACTACTATGATTGTCAATTTGTTAATTTCCCCTTTGTTTCTGACTATATTTGCTTGATGTATTTTGAAACTAAGTTTGTAGATATGTCCAAATTCACAATTATTTATGTTCCTGAGAAACTGAAACTGTTACTACTATAAAATGGCCATTTTTATCCTGAGTAATACTGTGGACCTTAAATTCTATTTTGTATGATATACAAATAAATACACCAGGTTTCATTTGGATATTATTTGTATGGTTGTCTTTTCTACCCTTTTGCTTTTAACTCTTATATTTATATATAGCTTTTCACACAGCTTTATCATTTAGATGTGTCTTTCATAATGTTTTTCATTCAGATGGTTTTACTTGACAATCTTTCTAAATTCAGCCAACTAGACAATTTACCTTTAATGTATTTACCAATCTGTTTGTATTTAAGTTTATCATCTAGCAGCATCTTACTGCTTTTTGTATGTTGCTCTTTTGATCCCTTTTTTCCTTCTTTTGGATTAATGAATATGTTTCATCTTTCTGTTTTTCCTCCAATAATTTGGAAGTTACATAGTCTGTTTATTCCTTTTACTAATTTACTTATAAGTTATCACATGCATGTTTATTTTTCTAATATGAATCAATAAACAATTTGTCTCTTCCTGGAAAAAACAAGGACTTGACTTTATGTCCACTTATTCCCACTCCAACCTATATATTATTGCTGTCATAAGTTTTAATTTTTATCAGTGTAATCCACCATGACATTATTACTATGATTTATATTTACAGTCAATAATCATTCTGATTTACCAAAATATGGGGCCACTTTGATTTTTTATTGCTGCTTTGTAGAACTCCTACCTGTTCTGTTTCCTGTAGCAAATATCTATCAATTGAAAATCCTGTCAGTTTTTTTATCTGAAAACATTTTTATTCTTGAAAGATTTTTTTTTGCTGTGAATTAATGGATTGCAAGATTTTTTTTTCTTCAGTATACTAAAATTTCAACCCACTCTCTTCTAGTTGTCATTATCGCTGATGACAAGATAGCCATCGATCTATTTAGAAATCCTTGGAGGTAATATACTTTTTTCCTACCTTGGGTGACTTCTAAGTTTTTTTTCCTTTGGTGCTCTTCAATTTCATTATAATGTGTCTAAATGTAGCTGTCTTTGCTCATACTTTCTGAGATTCACTGAGCTTCTTGAGTCTATGGATTGGTGTCTTACCAGTTCTGGAAAGTCACCAGCTGTGAGAGAGCATTCACTCTTTCTTCTTCTAATTATGACCCAGTTAAACCTCTTATACCATTTAACCTGTCTCTCTGTGAAGTGTGCTCTGGGTAATTTCTTCTGATGTTTCTTCTATCTAATTCTGTCTACATCTGTATGTAATTAGTGTTTAAATCCATGTATTAAGTTTTCAATATTTGTTATTGTAATATTTAATTCTAAAAGGTATATATGCTACCTTTTCAAATCTGCTTCATCAATTTTATATTATTATTTTCTCTTCAGATGTATATATATATATACTTTTTATTTCTTTAAGTATAGAAACAATAATTATTTTCTAATCAGTGTCTCATAATTCTAATATATTATTTTGGGATCTACTTTGGCTTTCCTTTTTTCCTGCCAATTCTCTCATTGTACGTGTGTGTGTGTGTGTGTGTGTGTGTGTGTGTTTGACCAACCCTGCTTATTTTGGTTGAAAATAATTCTTTGTGGGGAATTTTTGATACCTAGACTAAAAGAATAACGTCTTTCAGATCGGATTCCCATTTGCTTCCCCACAGCCTAGTGAAACTACAAGTCTGGGATTGTTTTCAAAATAACTTCATGGCTCCAATCCAGGATTTTTGTGCAACACAGTTGATATAAATCTGGGCTACAAAACTGCACAAGAACAATCTAATTGTGGCTACTTCTTGAAGACTTATTTTCTCCTCTGATTTGTTCAGCACCAAGTGAACATTTTTTTTGTAGGCTCATAGGTGCAGGGTATGGGGCTTATTGTTACCCAGCTCTTCCTGATAATACGATAGGCCAGTGCGGAGTGCAGAGATTAGCAAACATTTTTCATCATTAACCAATGGGCTTCAAAAGTCATAAAGATGGCTGGGCTCCATGGCTCATGCCTGTAATCCCATCACTTTGGGAGGCAGGTGGATCACTTGATGTCAGGAGTTCAAAAGCAGCCCAGCCAACATGGTGAAACTCCATCTCCACTAAAAATACAAAAATTAGCCAGGCATGGTGGCACGTACATGTAGTCCCAACTACAGGCTGAGGTGGGAGAATCCCTTGAACCCGTGAGGCAGAGGTTGCAGTGAGCTGAGATCTCACCACCAAACCCCAGCCTGGGTGACAGAGCCAGCCTCCATCTCAAAAAAAAAAAAAAAAAAACAAAAAAGTAATAAAGATGACATTTTGATACCTTATCTTTCTCCTATGATTTATTTCCAACTCTTTTCAACTTAGACCACAAAGTGTATACTTCATCTTTTGTTTTATTTGTTTATATTTATTTTTAAAAGAGCTGGTCTTATTTAATATAATGAGATTTTTACAGATGTGAAATATAAGCACACATATTCTTTGTCAGAATGTGATTTTAGTCATTATTATTTGACACTACAGTAGGTATAATTTACATAATTTCTGCCACATATTGACACACCAATGCAGTCATTCAACTAACATGTGTTGAGTTTCTGCTAAGGACCATTGCTACTCACAGTGTGGTTTGTATTTCTTAGGATCTTCTTAGAAATTTTGATGGATTAAGTCAGCTTCTGATTTTTAAGAAAGCAAAATAGACATTAAGGCATAATTTGGGGTTATGATAAACATGATCTAAAACTGAAGAATGAAAGTATTATCATCATGCATTAAATTTTGTAGGAATCTTAATTTCTTAGATTTTTTGATATGGTTCAAAACTAGTCTGTTTTGAAAAGAAGACACAAATAAAAGTTGAGCTCTAGCCAGAATATCTAAAAATGCTATGTGATAATAAATGATGTATTTGCATTAGTATTTAAAAGTACCACATTTTTGCACCTTATGATCTCAGCATTAGTTTATGACACAGAAGAAATATGAAGAGTACTTTAAAAAGATTTCCTTAAAACTTATGTTTAAGGCCTGTGGAACCCTTCATACAACATTTGGATAAACAGAAAATTCAATGAACAAAAGGTTATCTCAACATAAACTCTACTGAAACCTACTGTAGGACCTAATTTCAAAGCACTCAATAACATAATTGAAGCAGTAATTACCTGACTTCAGGATGAACAGTTGGAGGCATTCATTTTTTTCCCCAGCATATCACATAATTTTTACCTAAGAAAGCTCCCTTTACATTTTTAACAACAGTTTTGATGGATAGGAACAAGAAGCATTTGCACTATAATTTTTCAGTGCATTATAATCAAGTGAGTGTTTTCTAAATGTCATAGTTTAAATTTCATGGGGCGTGAAATCTCCTTTGAAATGAAATTTAAAGCCTTTTTCAAATAAGAAGACTAATCTTACAGTCAAAAACACTTTATATTCCCAGATATTATTAACCTTGGAGGACTGCTTGCAAGATGATAATACTTTCTGACACATTAAGATTAAATTTGTCTTTATACAATTATGTTAAATAATACATTTAAAATAGATAAGATTGCAGGAGAAGTGTTATGTGTGTGCAGTGGTAGGCTTCCCATTTACTAATAACAAACTTAACTACTCACCATTTACATGGTAATGTTAACATGTATTTGATCAGATCACTTCTAAAGAAAACTATTTTGGACTAATCATAGTGCTTAATGTCAAAAATGATAGCATCGCACTGTATCCTAAAAAATAGATGGCGTTAACTTCCTATACTACTTTCGAATTTGAAAAAGCACACAACTATTTATTATTAGTAAAGTGCAAAATCCTTTTTATATAATCAGTGCTATTTGGGTGCACCCCAAAATGTTTTAAAGTGATCTGAAATATGTTAGTTATATTTTAAACCGCTTGTTTTAACACTTTGTTTTCAATTACAAGCAGCTGTACATGAAATCTTTTGCAAGAAGGATGCATGGTGATTGGCCATTTTTCTTAGACAAGGGCTGTCAATGCCAAAATCATTTCAAATATGAAAAGCAATGATGCAATAACATTTTTATCTTCTTTGAGGCCTTGAAATCTTAATGATAATGGAAAGTATAAGGTATCTTTTAAAATTTGTATTCTTTCATATTACAGCTAATATCCACTTCCATTTTCAGATCCTAATGTTTTAAAATATGAACAAAGGGAGTCAGTTAGACATGAAAAAACAATCATAAATACTGGCTCATCAATCTCATATTCTTTCAAGAGAAAAAAAAAACTTAAGAGTCTTCTAGGTAGCCACTGTTCCATGCTGATTGCCATCTTCCATCCCTTTGTGGTGGGGCTTTGGCCCCACCTGGTGGTTGGTTATGAGAATGGATGACCCCATATTTCATCTGAGAAACGTATGCACAGGCACAGCTTCCTTTATTTATGTGTTGGTTTCTGTTTGTTTGTTATGTATTACCCATAATTTTGTTAATTCCAATACAATAAGTCTTTGTTTTATCCAGAGATACACTTCTTTGTAAATCCCTTTAGTTCTTCCTTTCTCTTGGTGCTGCCCCTTGCCTAACAAAACGTTTCTTTTCCTCTTAATATTAACTGCATTATCAGTCTCCTAACCTCACCAGCTTTCACTTGAAAACCAAAAATGGGCCGGGCGCGGTGACTCATGCTTGTAATCCCAGCAGGTTGGGAGGCCGAGGTGGGCGGATCATCCGAGGTCAGGAGTTCTAGACCAACATGGCCAATATGGTGAAACCCCGTCTCCACTAAAAATACAAAAATTACCGGTGTGGTGGCGGGCGCCTGTAATCCCAGCCACTCGGGAGGATGAGACAGGAGAATCGCTTGAACCCGGGAAGCGGAGGTGGCAGTGAGCCAAGATCATGCCATTGCACTCCAGCCTGGGCGACAGAGCGAGACTGCGTCTCAAAAAAAAAAAAAAAAAAAAAAAAAAAGGCATAGCTGATTAAAGATAAAACACAATATTAGTATTACTAACAAGATGCATCAAGAAAAAAAAAAATGAAAAACCATACAGTATATTTTAAGCCCTTCAAGGAATTTAAAATTTCCCTCTCATTCCTCATAAAACTGATGGCGTCTTCTAAATATACCAGTACTTCTCAGTGCCAGGATTTAAGGTACACAGAGACATTTTCTTCTCTGTCTTTTTTTTCCCCTTTGTATATGCTCTACTACAGGGAAAATTGGGATAGGGTGTGTGTGTGTGCGTGTGTGTGTGTGTGTGTA
The DNA here is from genome assembly GCF_000001405.40 of Homo sapiens. Classification (NCBI taxonomy): domain Eukaryota; kingdom Metazoa; phylum Chordata; class Mammalia; order Primates; family Hominidae; genus Homo; species Homo sapiens. The sequence goes on from NC_000013.11 coordinate 91,018,434, forward strand.
CTAGTTTTATTCTCTTTCTTAATATTCAGAGTATAACTTTTATTAGAAAACAGTCTCCAAGTTCCAGTAAACCAACTTAAATAACCTATGCTTAAATTGGATACTCCCTATATTAAAGCTTTTTATCTTTATTCTGTTTAATTTTCCTCAGTAACAGAACATTTTATTTAACACCCGGAGCACAAGGACTCAAACAGCAGTCAACAATAAAAAATGCTAACTTACTCCTCCAAAAGAGCCACTTGAACATTTTTAATGTTTTAAAATGTATTAAAATATTGATTATTCCCAGGGTAACTAATACTACATCATAGACTATCTTTATTCAGGCCAGATAAGACTCATGAATAAGAGGTATTTGGATCCTCTAAAATGAGTTTCTGTAATTAGCAACTCCATTCCAGGCTGCCATTATCATAATATCATTCTCACTGTAGTCATTTGAAATGCAAACTATGTGTACAACTAATCTTTGAACCGAAGAACAAAATCTTGACTTTAATCATCTAAACTTGAGTATTTTGAATTTTGTCCCTAGAATTGCTTTACAGAGCATTATTTGTGATGGAATTCCAGATAGGGTTCTCAGATGATTGCTGAAATGGCTAGATATCATGGGCTGGAAAGGAGTCGATCCAAATAGTTGATTTTGTTTGAATTTTCAGGATAAGAAGACAATATTTTACTAATTATAGTCACAGAATCCTCAGTTTTAACTGGTCTGTTCCAACAGAAGTATCCCTGAGCTAGGAGGATGATTTGAGCTATTTACAGCTTTCAGTGCTTATTCAGCACTTAAGTTTATGAAGCACCTTCATCTTATTTATTTCATTAACTATATTTCTGAATTCAGTCCCTCTAATAGATTTTAATATATCAATATAACTTTTTAAATTTCACTATCTAAATCTATAAGTCAAGATAATAAAAAAGTTTACTCTAAGAAGAATACACACTTGCACTATGTTGGAAGTTATGCTTACTTTTTTTTGTTGATCTTACTCATATACATTTCCTCATAGTGTTGATTGTGGAAAATACAACTATGATGTATAGAATTAAAATTTCCCAATATAGAGAAGTAAATATTCAGGATCCTGAAACTATTGCTATTTTTTAGTTATATATTCTGGAACCTCATTTTGTATCATGTTTCAAATAAAACTACTTTTGTAAGAGTTATCACTATCATCAAATAATATTTCTTCAACATTGTTACAATAATGGTTCCTTCATTAACTAGATATTTGCATAAAACCTTGATAGAAGATGCTAATATGGCACTGAGAGCCATGGATTATTTAGAGTGCTATTTATAACTGTTGAAATAAAAAGTACAAAGTTAATATTTGACAGCCATTTGAAAGCATGTCTCAAAACACTTTTGTTTTAAATAAAGATAAGCTGATTTTAATATCTGCAATATGTTACATGACTCAGATGAACTTTATGTTACTATTGTCACTTGAATGCTTCAGAAATTGTACAAAGGGATATTACATTTACTAGCTGTTGAAAAACACCATTGAGACATGACCTATAGTGACATGTTTCCACCACATATTTGTCACTCATCTGCTTTATGCTTAGCCAAATTTAAAAGTGAAATATGTCATTGGAATACAAAGGCTCAGAGTCAGACTTTTAAAGTCTGAGCTGTTCAAGGTGAGCTGTTTTTAATTTCCAAGGCGTCTTTCCTGCAAAATCAAATAGAAACATACTCTTTGATCGTCACTGCCTACAAAATAGCTATTAACTTTTCTAGTAGAATTAGCATATTGCTGTCTTTAGAGATTATAAAGCTGGCTTTTAATTGTGACCCATCACCCAGAGAACTGATAGAATTCACCAATGTCGGTAGCAGTCTTTCCACACCTCTCCAGCTCCTCTCCAAAATACCAAAAATGTACATTGTGGATCTCTAAGACAATTCTCTTTTCATGCCTAGTAAAACCTAAAAAAAAAAGAAAAAATAAAATGTTAATAAGGCTCTCTTGTAGAGTGGCTGAATGCCTGTAACATATGTTCTCTGTCTTACCAGAATAAGGAAGGCTGTTTAACTAATGCTGAAGCTGCTCTTGCCTATGAATAGTATAAAAACCAAACAAGATGTCAAGAACCAGATCTCAAAATCTTTTGCTTAATATGATATCTATTTTAGGCTCCTGAAAATATACATACTAATTAATGGAACCAAGTAACAGACCTAGGAGATGTTTAAAAGCCTATGACAGGCAAATGTGATTGGAACCTCATTAAGATTAAGATTATGCATTGATGACTGCAAGAAGTGCTCTCATTGGCCATGACATGTAATTTCATTTCTACTGGAAGTAACATACACTTCTCAGGAATTACTTGGGTAACATCTCTTTCCACAAAGTAATTGCCTTTTTATGTTTTGACATGGATGACACTTGTTAATGGCAAAGTCTTAAGGTGTTACAAATGCATAAATCACTGTCAATCACTCTCAATTATATAATGTGGGGTATTTTTATACCAACATCACCATCATCAAAAAAAGTACTTAACAAGTTACTCTGCTAAGAGAATTGCATAAATGGCTTTTATTAAGGAGGATTAACATATTGAAAATAATAAAAAATTGTCAATACACAGAAAAAGGAACTAAGAACAAAAAACAACATACTAAGTCGAGAAAATATTGGAGAGTAATCTAGAATTAAGTGCATTCTGAAGCTGAGAGTAGGATGTATTTGTTGATGAGGTGAAATTATGGTGAAGTTCAAAGCTAAAGGGAAGCTATATTTTGTTGTACAGCAATCCATGATATCTCAAGTGGACGCTATTTATATTGGTTTTCTGTTAATCTATTGACCTGGTCTACCAACGTGTATGACCAGAAAATAAAATGGATTGCATGATGCAAGTAGCAAAATGTGTATATTGAATTTAAAATGCATTATCTTTATGAAGAGAAGAAGATTACTTTGCTAATTATATTTTAATATGAGTTGGCATTTCCAGAACACATACTGCTTATTAAAAAGGAAGATGCTTTAAAATATGCTAATACCATCCAAATGTGAAAGGCACAGTGGAATTTGGTCTGCCATCCCCTCCCCCACCACCATCACCACAGACACACATAAGAATGAAAAATTCGGATCTTGAATCCACGCCCCCCCTTTCACAGAGACCTCATTGCGCAGAATACAAATACACCTTTCCTGTTTAAAACTGTTTGCTGTGAACTCTACCTATAGCAATTTGTCAGTGTGATTTGTAGGAGCAAATGGTCACGTTTAGTATACAACTCTTTTCCATATAATTAGCATTTTTCTTCTCTCATCCCAGAGCAATCGGTGTCAGGATTGAAACTTTGTTATTAGTGATCTGGTCATGCCACTAGAAGCTCAATGGGCCTCACATTCTCTGATGAACTGAGCCCACAAGTTTGAAGAAACATCAAAGTCCCTGGGTGGGCAGAGGGTCAGCACTAGGCACTCAGAGATGGAAGATAGATGGGGAAAATCAACTTAAGATGGAAATGAAAGAATAGGGAGGGGGAAAGAAAGAAGAAAGTAGGAACCTAGATGGGAAGATAATAGAAACAAAATAAACGTGTATTTTGTATATTGTGGAACATTTGCCTTTGTGCTACCAGCAGGGATGAAGAACTTTTATAGTCTTGGCAGAGTGTTCAGATGGAATATGCATTGCTATAAGAAGGCCCCCAAAAAGTGCTTCCACTGCAAAATTCTGCAGCAGCAGCAAATAACAACACCGGTCACCACCATCTAAGTGATTACTGTGTACTCGACACCAGAGGCAATTTGCAGACATGTTTTCTCCTCTCCAGTCCTTAAAACAAAACTATAATGAAGTCATTTATGCTCACTTCACAGACAGAGACCCAGAGGTAAGTCATTTAAGTGATTTACCAAAGGCAACAGAGCTCTTCGGTGCAAAAGTCTGAGATGCCCACTTCCTCCACTGCACCATTTTGACGTTTATTTACAATATTCTACATTTGAAGTATCTCTGATACAGTAAGTCAATATTTGGTCACTGGTTTTAGGGCACAAAAAAATCTGATAACCAATTCAATCAATTCTGATTTTCTGATTAATAACCATTGCTTAATCTGCATTAAATAGCAGGCTCCAATTTGGGGAAATGGCTTTTCTACCTCTCCAACCTTGAATCACTGATAAGGGCAGAGGAGAGTGTTTCTATTCAGTTTCTCCTGTCACAGGAACCCTGAGCCACAGTGGTGAATGCAGAGATGGCCATGTGACCCAACAGGGGTCCAGTGCTTTTTTCTATTATTATTCTCTTCCTTTTTTTTATTTTTCCTAAGTTGAAAAGCATATTAGGGAAATATGAGAGGGAGATACACCCCAGTGACAAAAAAGAAAACTATGACAATGTCTCTTCAAACCAAGTATGGGCCTGGCATTGACCTCCCCCAAAGACAAGAAGCTGGCAGGTTAACCACATTCTCTGGCAGTCACCTTCCCAGGGCATATCTTAGCCAGGACTGACCCCTTCCTCTTTCCAAAAGTGAAGGGGGCAAAGATTGTTTATAGAATCAATGCAGAGGCGAGGAGAAGGAAAGTCTGAGAGAGAAAGGAGGAGAGCAGGAAGTTCTTATTTATTTACCTAAGAAGTAGGAGGGGAGGACTTTAAGTAAGAGGCACAAGACTTTGGCTCTGAGTGCCTCAAATACATTGTCACATAGTTTGATAAAATGTCACTGAAAAGATAAAATGCCTGGTGTTTTTTCCAAAAGTTCTCCTGGACTTCTTCCCACATGCTGCATTACAACCCCATATGTACATGCAGACCCCAAAGGCCACACTTTAAATTAAAAGAAAAAAAGAAAACCAAAAATAAGTCCTGTCGATCTTTAAGAAGAGGGGAAGTTGCTGAAGGATGCCAACTCTTTCCCACCTGGGTCTGTGTTCTGCAAAGTGACTGCAAAGCAACAACATGGGCCAGGCATGGTGACTCACGCCTGTAATCCCAGCACTTTGGGAGGCCGAGGTGGGCACATCATTTGAGGTCAGGAATTCAAGACCAGCCTGGTCAACATGGTGAAACCCCTTTTCTACTAAAAATACAAAAAAATTAGCCAGCCTTATGGCACATGCCTGTAATCTCAGCTACTCAGGAGGCTGAGGCTAGAGAATCGATTGAACCTGGGAGACAGAGGTTACAGTGAGCCAAGATCATGCCACTGCACTCCAGGCTGGGCAACAAAGTGAGACTCCATCTCAAAACAATAATAAATAAATAAATAAATATAAAAACAAAGCAGCAGCATGGCATTGTTCTAAATGACCTTTCGTCACTGTGCTTCAGTGTATTTTATTCTCCATTCAAGGGCTGTCAGCTTCTCATATAGAATTAGGAGTCTTAAAGGACATGACATATGAAACAAGTTGAGAAAGTTTACAATTTTCTTGTTGCTGCTGGTGATAAACTCAATGCAATCCTGGATTTCCCAGTGCTGGTGAATCTCTCACTGCACCAAATTCTCTCATCCTGTCAGGATGGCCTCCTAAGGAAAAGCAACCACCTCTTATTATTTTTCTAATGTGAACTGTTAGACAGGAGCTGTTGGTTTTGAGATTTGAGTTGCCTGTCAATATAATCTAGGGTATAAGTATCTCTGACTTAACCAAAGGAATAAGATCTTCAGGCACTAGATGAGCTATGAAAAGTGGGAGATTATTGGCAGCATTTGCATTTCTAATTCCAAGCATCTCTAAGACTAAGAATGCTCTTCTTAAAATCCTGCCATGTTGGCCAATAGTTCCTCTACTTTACCTGTTAGCAATAACGATTTCTAGTCATTTAAAATAAGCAGAATCCTGACTTATATATAAGTGAATTCCTGATCCAGAAAACAATGCATACAGATTTTATTAATGGCCAAAAGTGAAATTGATTTAATTGTACAGGAAATTGATTCATTTGCCTGGAACATAAATATTTTCATGAATATCTTGCTTTTCATTCAAAAATAAATAATATACATTTTTATTAAAAAGAGATTAAGAGAAAAAGAGGAGAAAAGGAAGAAATATTTGAGTCATGCAAATAAAATAACATTACATTTGAATCGTCTTTATAATGCTTGAGAAGACAGCTAATGTCAATTCTAAGTTTTTGATTGGTGGAAATAGGTTCTGAGAGCCCTGGCCCACACGGTAGATAAGTGTTCTCACCATAAAAAGTATGTGAGATAGTGCATATGTTAATTAGCTCAATTCAGATATTACACAATGTATATATAGTTCAAAACATCATGTTGTAGATGATAAACACATAGAATTTTATTTCTCAATTAAAAAAATAATAAATACAGGGAAATATACTCAAATCATTCTACTTTGTTCCTGTGCGGGTGGGTAAACTGGTTTAAAGGAATAGCAAAGTTCTGCAGCACTCTCAAAATTGAATTCTGCCCACATTCTTCCTTGACCTGTAAGTCAATGAGGTCATCTTTCCCGGATCTGCATATTAACATTGATACGTTATATCATCATGGAAAAGACCAGAAATTCACATTTGGTTTTAGTTAAGAGACATGGACTCTTGACTGTTTTCATCTGACCTCCCACACTATGGTCTACTCTCAGTGACCACTCTTGAGTGTACTTTTGGAAACAACACTAGGCATTTTATCTTTTCTGTGACATTTTATCAAACTATGTGTCAATGTATTTGAGGCACTCAGAGCCTTGTGCTCTGTGCACAAAGGCTTGTGCCTCTTACTTAAAGTCCTCCCCTCCTACTTCTTAGGTAAATAAATAAGAACTTCCTGCTCTCCTCCTTTCTCTCTCAGACTTTCCTTCTCCTCGCCTCTGCATTGATTCTATAAACAATCTTTGCCCCCTTCACTTTTGGAAAGAGGGTGGGGTCAGTCCTGGCTAAGACATGCCCTGGGAAGGTGACTGCCAGAGAATGTTGTTAACCTGCCAGCTTCTTGTCTTTGGGGGAGATCAATGCCAGAATCCACTCAAATCCAAGAACACCAAGGAAAGAGTTTAAAATCACTGACCAGGAGGATGGGTGTCTTTCCAAGGCAGCACCTTACACAGAGGAGTAAGTTTCTAGTATAAAAAATACCAAGGAAGAAGTAAATATGGACCAGGTAATAGTTATCTTGTATGCAAAGCATAAGTTTGTTTATTTAAAGACACTATGTATACTAAAGAGATGAGCTCTATCATGTACACAAATATTGCACAATATAATTTCATTACCTTTAATAATGTGAGCTGTCCAGTATTAAATACATAAAGAATTGACAGACTTTTGAAGTATTAGAATTAAAATTGGTGAAAACCTAAAAAATGAAAAGACATCATATTCAAATTATGTTTTGTCATATTTATTTTGAAAAGCCTGGTTTGTTGGGATTATTTAGTGTAATATTTCAATTTCTACTATATCAATTTATATAAACAATTATGTTGTTATTTGAGGATGGGTTATAGCTGTGTAAAGTTAAATCCTAGCCAAAAGTCAACCAGAACCAGACATTGGCTTGTTCAAGAAAAATACCAAGATTCACAAATTGCTTTAAAAAAAAAAGTTGAGGCCAGGCGCGGTGGCTCACACCTGTAATCCCAGCACTTTGGGAGGCCGAGGCTGGCAGATTACAAGGTCAGGAGATCGAGACCATCCTGGCCAATGTGGTGAAACCCCATCTCTACTAAAACTACAAAAATTAGCTAGGTATGGTGGCACGTGCCTGTAATCCCAGCTATTTGGGAGGCTGAGGCAGGAGAATTGCTTGAACCTGGGAAGGCAGAGGCTGCAGTGAGCCAAGATCATGCCACTGCACTCCAGCCTGGGCAACAGAGTGAGACTCCATCTCAAAAAAAAAGTTGGGTCTTTCAGAGGACATTTTTATTTCTTATAAGCTTCTTTAAGTATAGATTATAAAGAAATTAAATTGTTGTCATGAATAAAGATTGGTGAAGTGGCTATCCTAATTTTATTTGCTTTTTCTACTCTAGTCTTGCCACTTATACTATTATGATTATCGGGATCTCTCCTTTGTAAGGGGAAATAAATAAGATCATTCTGGACAGGTTCGTCCCAGAAGAGAAAATACAAATTATCAATAAACATTTAAAACTATGCTTATTCTCACAAATAAAGAAATCCCAGTTAAAATGAGATGCTGCTTTTAATGAAACTTTAAGAAAATTTTAGTTAAATTAAATACATCTAAATGGAGCAGTTAATAAATTATAAAAACACTAACACATCCAATAAATATATATTGAGCACAGACTATATGTCAGACATTCTGTACCCTGGGGAAGTGGGTAAGAAGTCATACAAGTCCCTAAACTTATAAAGTTTACATTGTAGAAGGGAAAGCTAACCACAAACAAACAAATGAATGACATAAATTTTGAAAGTTCTAAGTGCTATGAAGAAAATAAGAAATAGGAGCTAAAGTGTTAGGTAGTCAGTGGGGTGTGTACCTTAGACAGGAGGGAAGATGACACTGGAGCAAAGACATGACTGATGCGGATGAACCAACCGTAAAACACCTAGGACAGGCCATTCCAGACAGAGGCATCAGCAATGGTAAAGACTCCGAGGAAAGAACAGGACTGGCAGAACCAAGGAGCAGAACCAAGGATCACCAGGATCTTTCCTTTGTTAGAGGAAATGAGATCATTTTGAATGGGTTTGTCCAAGAAGAAGAAATACGAATTGTCAATAAACATTTAAAACTATGCTTATTCTCACAAATAGAGGAATCCCAGTTAAAATGAGATGTTGTTTTTAATGACACTTGTAAAAAGGAGCAGGAGGATGACCAGTGTGAGTACTATATGGTGAGCAAAGAGAAGAGTGGTAGAAAACATCAAAGATGTAGACAAAATCAGATTACTTTTAGCCTTCTGAGCCACAGTAAGGACTTGTAACTTATGCTATTCCACTTATAATGGAAGGTCATTAGATACTTTTTATTAGGAGATTTACATGGTCTGTTGTTGTACCTTAGGAAAAAAAACATCATTCTGGCATCTGTGTGGAGACTGGACCATGGAGAGTGAGAGGAGGAAACTGGGGGATAAGGGAGGAAGACATAGCTGAAGTCTTCATAGCAGAAGATGGTGGCTTATATTAAGGTAAAAGAAGTCGAAATTGTGAGAAGGGGCCAGATTTGGTATAGTCTGAAGTTAATGTAGTAAATGTGGGTAGTGAGGGAAGAAAGAATGGTCACAATGACTCCTACATCTTAGCCTTTGTAAGTAGGTGAATGTCAGGTGCTTAAGTAAGATGGAGGACTTTGAGGGTGTAAGCAATGGGAGTAACAGAAACAAGATACAGAACATATTTTGTATTTGTTAGGCTGAGATATTGCAGGCAGTAGGGGGTGGGAATGCTGAAGTTAGAGTGAAAATTTTGGAGAGACCCTAGTATATACAAGCCTGAGGTTCAAGTAAGAAATCGAGGCTGGTGATATGCATTTTGAGGGACATCAGATAATAGAAAGGGTTTTAGATTATAAAATCTGGTGGAATCAGCATGGGAGAGGGCATACTCACAGAAGAGAAACAGATCTAGGATTGAGTCCTAAAATACTTCACTATCTAAGAGTTCAGGAAGAGAAGACACCAGTAAATGATGGAATGCAAATATGTAGCAAAGTGAAAAATTAAAACAAAAAATGTGAGCCAGGAGTGGTGGTTCACACCTCTAGTCCCAGAGCTTTGAGAGGTTGAGGTAGGAGATTCTCTTGAAGTCAGGAGTTTGAGACCACCCTGGGCAATAAAGTAATAAACCCCCATCTCTATAAAAACAATTAGCCAGGTGTGGTGGCACAAACCTGTAGTTCCAGCTACTTAGGAGGCTGAGACAGGAGGATCACTTGATCCAAGGATCTAAGGAGTTGGAGACTGCAGTGATCTATGATCACACCACTGCACTCTAGCCTGGATGACAAAGGGAGGCCATGTATCTAAAAAAAAAAAAAACACCCTACAAATATGTTTAAAGTACAAAGGAAGTAAATATTTCTAAGTACTGTAATTATGAGAGAAGACTTCTTTGTAGAAAATGATCTTGCAGGTTGGGTAGAATTTTGAGTTCCTGTCATTTCTGGCCACAGATATTTCATCAAGTGCAGATGTTAACCTACATATTTTTTTAATCAAGTATGGTATGGTGAAAGCTTTATGATTCTTCAAGAACTTATTTTCACTTCTTATATGGCTTCTAAAGCACATTTAAGGGGTGGTCAAGGAATAACAAGCTCTTTGGAGTAGGTATAGCTTCAGACTCACCTGAAGTTTCTTTGAATTTTCTAACAGATTCTTCAAAGATAAAGTAAGAAAGTGTTCTTGTTTATTTTATAGCATATCTTTCCATCACATTTTTATTTCCTTATCTATATGCCAGAGTGTCTGAGGGACTCTTTTAAAAGTCTGCCAGAAGTCAAGTTAAAAGAAGACTTTTAGTGTGATACTAGATTCTAGTCTCAGACTTCTCTGTAAGCTCAAGTTATAGTTGTTCTGAGCCTCTCAGCACTGTGGAGAGAGAAGCAGGTAGAACCCAGGGTAGATAGCGGGCCCCAGTCAGTGCGACTTGAGAAAAACAAAAATTCACACACACACACACACACACACACACATACGCACACACACTCAAAATCTCCCCAACAGCCATAAACACCTTCTTTTAGAGTATGCTGTCAGTTAAAGCTTTATTTTCAAAACCATTAGCACCAGATGAAAATGTGTTACGTTAAAAAGTGAAATGAACACAGGCAAAGCCACACAGCGTAGACAAAAATCCATTAAAGGCAAGGATGCTGAGATTGGGATACCCTGCGGAGAACAATTTACAGGTTTAATTCACCATCATCCTATTATTTCATAATTATTTTGTATCTTTCTCTAATTTAAAATTCTTATTTTTTCAAACATGGTTTATACACCATTGTGCCTTTTTTGAAACAAAAGAGGAAATGTACTTAGAATAAACTCAATAAATAGAAGAATTTTATCGCAAATACTCCATTGAAGCACTTCATGGATTAACAACACTTAAATAGGGTGTAAGCAAGCTATGGCCCATGGACCAAATCTGGCACACCATCTATTGTTGTAAATAAAATTGTGCTAGATCACAGCATGCCCATTCATTTACATATTGTCTATGACTGCTTCCACACTGCAGTGCCAGAGCCAAGTAGCTGTGACAGAGACCTTATGGCCCCAGAGACTGAAATATTGATTACCTGTCTCCTTACAGAAAAAGTTTGACAACTCCAGCCTCAGAACCTCTCTCACTATGTATATACTTCTATTTTAGATACTGCTCTAACAAGTGGTATTACTTATTCTCCCAGACTGAAAAAGAAAAGGAAGGTGAACAAACATTTGAAAATGAAAGACTTAATCTTCCTTCCTTCCCTTTTTCCTGACAAACACTAAGCTAAGAGTTTGAGTCCTTATTAGAACAATTGGTTCAAATTTTCATTTTTGAAACTGAAGGTACTGCCATAAAGAGATACGTGGTTCCTTCCTAATCCGCAGAAGGCTCAAAAGAGTACTCATTACAATCAGGAAAAGAGCTATACATGACCATGCAATATCAGGCTACTGACTGACTCTATGCAGACGAACGGCCTTAAAAATTATGAAGCAGTTTGAATAACATTTATCTTTCTCCTCAATATAGATTTAGCCTACTGCCTATGTTAATTAGTTTTATTCTTGGCACATGTGTAAATATGCCCTACAATTCTTATCTTAACTCCTTGAAAAGGTGAGAACAGAAACAGACACAATGAAACTCATGAAGGTGGAGCGAATTCATGAAGACCAGATTTGAAGACAGCATCTCTAGGCTAGATTGCCACGCAAAGCCCCTCTCCTTGGTTTATTGTATAGACCTTGGGTATTTACAGTCAGAAATAAAGATTCTGCTAAAGTGGTCCTGTTTGAGTGACTTGCCTGGAGAAATATATAATGGGACGAGGCAACTGGATCCTTCAGTTAAAGTACTTCATTGGGTAAGTCTTGAACATTCTGAAACATGGGTAGGGATGTACCGAAAGAGAATAAAAGTAGGAAGATCTTTGACAGAAAGAGGTAAAAAGGGGGAAGTCAGCATAGAAATTAAGGATATGACTGCTTTCAATAATTTTTCTTTGGAATCCCAAGAAAATCATATTTCATGCACAGCTTTAACCATTTCTTTTCTTTGTTCTGTAGGGATAAATTGTGAAAGACTTTTAAACAGAACAGAAAGATTGCTGGGTATGTTCAATGGAAAAGTAAGCATTGTCTAGCACACCCTTCAGGATTACCTGAACGTATGTTTTTGTTTCTTTCATTGCCTTTGAGCTATTTACAGCTTTGTAAAATATGGATAACTGATAGCAATGCAAATTACTTTTGTCCATATACATGCAAATAACTCCTGTCCAGAAGGATAATTGATTTTTCTCCTGCCCCATACTTTTGTCACCCCATTAAAAAAAAAACCAAACACTTTTGCATCTATTTGTAAATTCATTTCAGCATTTATGAGTAATCTTGATGTGTGTGGCATCCTTTGAACTAGTTGTAACATCTTACTGGATTATTCTTTAATCAATGAGATTAAAAACAATAATATATTCCTATTACATTTATATAGGTGTCATGGTTTTGTATATTTTTAAATATACTTTGAGGGTGGTAATCGTTTTTTTTTTTTTTTTTTTTTTTTGTGACGGAGTCTTGCTTTATCGTCCAGGCTGGAGTGCAGTGGTGCAATCTCGGCTCACTGCAAACTCCACCTCCAGGGTTCACGCCATTCTCCTGCCTCAGCCTCCCGAGTATCTGGGACTACAGGCGCCTGCCACCGCGCCCGGCTAATTGTTTTCTATTTTTAATAGAGACGGGGTTTCACCGTGTTAGCCAGGATGGTCTCGATCTCCTGACCTCGTGATCCACCCACCTTGGCCTCCCAAAATGCTGGGATTACAGGGGTGAGCCACTGCTCCTGGCCCGGTAATCCTATTTTAATAATTCCAACTCTTCAGGAAAACATGCCTATCTACCTGTCCGACCTGTAGTGATGAATGAGGGAAGATAATTTAAAGGACAAGGCAGAAAAGGTAAAACTGCCTACCCATATTTACCTCTTGATTTGTTCTCATGTTCAGCCTCTAGAGAGAGACTGAAGTTTCCCATATCTATGGGACTGAGTGGCGGAGAAGCCCTCAGCAGGACTGGGAGCTTCACATTGAGAAAGAACATCCCACACTTAGAACCAACCGCCAAGTGGACAGCTCTGGAAATACATGAGGGACAAACTTCAGATTGCCCTTAAACATTAGAATACAGGAACCGCTAAGAGAGCAACAGATAAGGAAGGCTTGATGAGGATAGGGAAGTGCATTTGTACTTGAATTACACATGTATTGAGAATTATACATGTGCTCTACTAAGTAGTTTGTGTACTCTGGTTTAATCTTTATTAAAAGTGCCTACAGTAAACTTGTTTATCCCTTATGCAGATTTGGAAACTGGTACTCAGAAATATGTAACACAAACTAAATCCTAACCTGGAAGTAAAAACAAAGTCACAATTTCAGAAAGTAACAGTACATCCCTCATTCCAATACTATGTACACATTACGTGGGGCTTCCACCAAACTTCAAGAGTTCAGCAGATCTGTTCCATACATACTTCTGAGCACCTTATTTTCACCTGTCGTGCAATGCCAGATCCTCTGCTTATCCACTTCCTGTGGTTTCAACTCCCTGTGATAATTTATCCTGCAAAGCCTCCAAGCCCAGAAAACTCCCTGACAGCATTTGCTCTTGCTGCAGGTACTGCCACTCTTCTTGTCCCCTTGCTGAAGCCTCACTGTGCATGTGTTGTGCTGTACCCAACTTGTTCTGCTGGGTCAAGACACTCTGCACTAAATGCAAATGCTAGTGCTAGTTATGGTACTGATATGGAGACTGGTACCAAGGCTCCAAAGCCAGACAAACTGCAGCTCCTGCTGGAACTGTGGATACCCATGAAAAAAAGTATCCATAACTGTGTGGAAAGTGTTCTTCTGAAGTTGGTAAAGGTCTTCCTCTTGTTACAGTAGGTAGTTAGACATACATGGGCAGGGAAGAAGAGCCTCCCCCGCCAATCCTGCCCACGAACTGTTTTTGTAAAGAAAGTTTCATTGGAACACCTTCATTTACATATTGTCTACGGCAACAACAAGGACAGTTGATTAATTGCCATACAGACTGTGTGACTCTTCACAGAAAATGTTTGTGATGCTTCCCTCCAGAGATCAAGTACAAGTATGAAATCTGCATTATCCATGAAGGACTTATCTGGAAACCTCTAAACTAGCCAGCCTTGGCAGGGGTTCTCATGTACATATTTTGACCTGAGAACCAGATAACTAGCCTTCCAGAAATGAAATTCCATGATAACTTCTTTCTATATTCAAGTTTATCCCACCAGGTTGTGAGAAGGTTCATTGCTTGCCTCTTTACTTTAGATCAGTTATTTCTTATTATATGCTGTTTCCTATCCAAAGCTATTTAGAGTAGGGGAGAAACTTGTTCTGAAAACTTTTTCAGTTGAATATACTGATACCGTTAACTTGAGTATTTTCTGCAAAAGAGAGTAGCTGTAAAAGTTAAAATGGACAGATTCGAATGTGAAAATAGTACCTCTGAACTGAAACTACCCTTTTCCCCACTTTTGTGCCTCACTTTCTGATCCTGATGCCAGGGCAGGGCTTAAACTCCATGGCAGACATAAAGCTGCTTCTTGTGAATATTTAACTACATGTAAAAATGTCACTTAATTTCATCATATATACATATAGAAAACATTTTTTTTTCATTTTTTCAAAAACTTTTCACCACTGGTTCAATAAACAACAGACTGGATTGGAATTATGAGTGGCAGCTTCCAGTCCTGGCTCTGATACCAAAGTTGTATTGTCAGAGCTGCTTCATTCAGTGTGAAGGGAGGGAGCAGTGTGGATTAAAGACAGAGACACTGAAAATCCAATCTATGTTTACACAGGGAAGAGGAACAGCTTGAGGGAAGATCTAGGGGTTGGGTGATGGTTTCAGAAAAATATCTGACATACAATAAATATATGTGGAGCAATTTGTTTTTAACACAAAGCCATAATGTGTAAAATGTGTTGGTAACTGTATTACAGCTTATACTTTGCCACAAATTGCATTGCTTGTATGCATACTAGTTATGTCATAGTATCAGATAAAACTGATTTTGATAGAAAGAACCAAAAAATTTTTTTTGTAGAATAAATACATTTCAGAAAGGGAAAACAGCCCTTCTGCTTGATCTGGTACTACTTTTAAACCTCCATCTTGCATTTTGTTCTTCCTTATGGCTTCCCCAAGCAATCATAGGACAAAGAAACAAAAAGCCATTGACTTTGCCCACAAATTTTACTAAAAAGCCCAATCAGTTTTTTCTTTAGGACCAATTATATGATTTCATCCCCGCTTTACCTCCTCCTCCAATGTGTTTTTTTTTTTTTTAAGAGATGGGGTCCTGCTCTGTCGCCCACACTCAAGTGCAGTGGCATGATCACAGCTCACTGTAGCCTCAACCTCCTAGGCTCAAGCAATCCTTCTACCTAAGCCTCCAGAGTAGCTGGTACTATAGGCATGCACCACCATGCCTGGCTAATTTTTTACATTTTTAGTAGAGACAGAGTTTTACCATGTTGCCCACACTGGTCTCTTGCTCCTGGACTCAAGCAATCCTCCCACTTCAACCTCCAAGCAATCCTCCCACTTCAACCTCCCAAAGTGCTGGGATTACAGGTGTGAGCCACTGTACCCAGCTTCAACACAATTATTGTTGACTGAAATTGTTCATAATTCCATTTAAAAGGAAAAAGAAAAACTTTATACTCCAGAATTTAATACAAATGCATAGTCCAAGTAACAGATGAATGTAAATTATTTTTAATTATATTTACTTGGAGCACCATCTACAAAAATTAAAAAACAGATTGCTTCACATTTTTAAGAAGGAATAAAGACTGGGGAGCCTTATGGGAAGGGATTTCCTCAGGAGGGGTTTAAGTCACACTGCCATCCTCTAAAGACTTCAGGTTTTGCCCGGGCTAAGCTCTTGTTAAAAAAAAAAAACAAAAACGTGCTCACGATTCTTCAAAGGGCTAAAAGAAGAACTACCATTTGACCCAGCAATCTCATTACTGGGCATATACCCAGAGGAATATAAATCTTTCTACCATAAAAACACATGCATGTGAATGTTCACTGCAGCACTAGTCACAAGAGTAAAGACACGGAATCAACCTAAATGTCCATCAATGACAGACTGGATAACAAAAATGTGGTACATATACACCATGAAATATTATGCAGCCATAAAAAAAGAACAAGATCCATGTCTTTGGTGGGAACATGGATGGAGCTGGAGGCTATTATCCTTAGCAAACTAACACAGGAGCAGAAAACCGAATACAGCATGTTCTCACTTATAAGTGGGAGCTAAATGATGAGAACTCATAGACATAAAGAGGGAAACAACAGACTCTGTGGCCTACTTGAGGGTGGAAGGTGGGAAGAGGAAAAGGAGCAGAAAAGGTAACTATTGGGTACTGGGATTAATACATGGGTGATGAAATAATATGTACAACTAACCACCATGACATGTGTTTACCTATTTAACAAACCTTCACATGTACCCCTAACCCTAAAATAAAAGCATAAAATATTCTAAGGGAAAGAAAATGTTCAACATTGTGCATTTAATTTGTACCTTATAAAAAGTTGAAAAATATTAATATTATAATACCCTACTTCATACTTTAATACTTCTTTTTACTTTCTTCTGGTTCATTTTCTTCCTAAACTTTTTTTGGCAAATAATTTAGGAGGTTGCAGGTAAGAGCCTCTACAGAAAATGGCATTTGCAGATCAATGAGAACTTTTCCACAAATCAGATAAAGTTGTAGTTCAAGCTTGCTTTATAAAGCACCTGCTACAAAGTTTACCTTCTCTCTTTTTTGAGGTTGTTGATAGTCATCGATTACTACTCTGGTTGGCAGATATCCTGCACTATCTTAGGTCTGTCATTATTTATTAACATGCGGATTTCTTCTTAAACTGAATACTTAAATGCTCTGTAGACATAAAAACAGAGATTGCAATTGTCAAAGCACATTTTGCTGTATACTAAACATGTGCGCTTTTTACTTACTTTATCAAGGGCCTACCTTTGAGATAGTTTCAAAACAGCTTGCTTTTACATGTACAATTTTCATTTAAATTGTTTCTAAAAGTAACTTAACCTATCTAACTTTTTGGTAAAAGTGGTTCTGACAATAAAAATTATCAGTGTGAGGAAATCCTTTCAGTAGTGAAAGAGTGGCTGACTTATTCCTGCAGCCACACCCCAAAGGACAACTGATGAATGAAGATTATCTACCCATCTCTTCAGTCTATTCAGAGACCCTGGAATATGGAGTCAACGAGCTGTGGGGAGTCAACGAGCTGTGGGGAGCCAAGTGAAAGAGCAAAGTCAAGTTAAAATTATGAAGAGCAAAATAGGCCAGGCTCATGAATAAACACCTAAAGGAAATCATTTTGCCCAAAGGATACTGAAAAACTAAACATGGTTCGAGACAGAACCCTTGCTCCCAATGACAGTTCCCATAAGACCTGACTATATTCAGCCAAGCTTTATAATAAACCTCCCTTTTAGTTTATGAAATCTTGAGCAGGTTTCAGTTCCTTACAATCAATTATCCCTGTCTAGAATAGATATTGGTACCAAAGACATAGTACCAAGAAAGAGTCTCAAAGCCCCTTGTTTTGAGAAAGCAAGGAGGGAAAAGGCAGGAAGAACTAGGAAACTGTCTATAGTATACAGTGAAACTTGATGATTTATTTACTGTAAACTGGTGGGATCTAGATCAGACCGCTGAAAAAATAGTTTTGAGTACTTGGTAGTAGAATATAAGGTAAATGCAGATATTCTTTATGGCATCAAATAAAGTTTTAGTAGGGAAAGTTTTGCTGTGGTCCATGGTGGCCATGCTGAATGCAGGCAATGAAAAGTAAGATGCCTACATTAGTATAAAGGCATATAGGATTGTCATCAGCAGAAAGAAAAAGGGGTCAAGGGTAAGGACAGCTAGATAATGGGGGAAGGTATAGTATTATGTCTTACGTGAAAACTACCTTTTAGAGATTCCCAAAACAATCAGAGACATGGGGAGTGAGGGCTTCAAATGGATCAGGGAGTCAGAGAAAAGCCATTTTAAAAGCAGGTAGAGTTACAAAGAGGCCACTATGAGACATCTCATGACTCTATAACCTCCCGATCAAATTTTAATTTTGCTTATCTATATATGTCCTCTTCTAATTATTAAGAGTAAATTCTTTCAAAATTAAAAAGGTAATTAGGTGCCTGTTAAAAACAAATCAGGATTAGGAAGCCTGGGTTCCATTCCATGGTATTTTGGAGGAGACGACAAAATCACAGGGAAGATTAAGTGATATAAATTGGAAAAGTAGGTCAAACTTTGCTGTTATATAAGAGGAAAATAAGATGAGACAGACACAGGATTAAACCTTACGAATAGTCCTGAGACATCAGCTGGCAGGAAACGTCTCTTTATCTTGTAAGAGTGCATGAGAAACAAAGAGACAGGGGGGTAGGAGGAAGAGAGTCATGAGAACACAGAATTATCTGAAAGCAATTCAGAAGACAGAAATATGAGGCAACAGCATTCATTAGTTTCCAAATATGCTTTTACAATCATTGTTCTCTACTCTGGGACAATTCTAAATACCTGACATCTGAGGAAAATAACTACACTGTTTGACACTGCTCTTCAATCTCTCTCTACAGTGAAATTTAAAAGAAATAACTTCTTTCACCCTCTGATGATTCAAGTAAAATGATTACAGGGTATTCACACTGCTACTTTGTACTAATGAAATCTGTCTTCAAAAGTTTAGATTTCTCCATTCTTTTCATTGAATAAGATAATCTCTCAGTTGATATTGTTTAAATTGGGTCAGAAGATAAACCTTGCCAAAAAAAGAGAAAAAAAGGAAAAGAAAGGACTTTTATTTAGGCTCTGACACAATTTATTATATTTGCAACTATACATAAAAGGAAGGAAGATGAAACCCAAACTTATAGTTGCACCTTTATATAGCTGTCAAGAAACACAAACACTGCCACCCTGTATCTGATGACATTGGAGAGAAAAGTAGTTCCCAAATGATGTAAGGTTAAATCTACAAAGGTGAGGTGAATTGTGAGGGGAAGCATTTAGCAGGTGAAACCAATCAACACAGACAAGTAATCAAGGCAGCATTGTCGTTTTACTTTCTCAATAAAAGGTTTATACTGTTGGGCTTTGGGGACAGAGTAACTTAATAATTACATCAAATGTTTTCTTCACTTTGCCTGTCTACAGGTCGCTAAGTCACCAGTTGACACAAATCAGAAGGTTGATTATTCTAAGCAATCTCAGCTCAAATCTTCACTTCCCTTTGCTTTTATGACACTGTATTGTTAGTACCTGCTCACTTACCTGTCCCCTCCACCTGTCTGTAAATTCATTGAGGACAAGCAGTGTATCTAATGCAGTGATTCTAAGAGTGTGGTTCCGGCACCAGCAGCAACAGCATTGCCTGGGAAATGATCAGAAATCCAAATTCTTGGGTCCCACTCCAGATCTGTTGAACCAAAAATTCTAGGGTTGGGGCCTAGCACTCTGCTTTAAGAAGTCTTCTTGGGATATAGACCCATGGAACAGAACAGAGCCCTCGGAAATAATACCACACATCTACAACCATCTGATCTTTGACAAGCCTGAGAAAAACAAGAAGTGGGGAAAGGATTCCCTATTTAATAAATGGTGCTGGGAAAACTGGCTAGCCATATGTAGGAAGCTGAAACTGGATCCCTTCCTTATACCTTATACAAAAATTAATTCTAGATGGATTAAAGACTTAAATGTTAGACCTAAACCCATAAAAACCCTGAAAGAAAACCTAGGCAATACCATTCAGGACATAGGCATGGGCAAGGACTTCATGTCTAAAACACCAAAAGCAATGGCAACGAAAGCCGAAATTGACAAATGGGATCTAATTAAACTAAAGAGCTTCTGCACAGCAAAAGAAACTGCCATCAGAGTGAACAGGCAACCTACAGAATGGGAGAAAATTTTTACAATCTACCCATCTGACAGAGGGCTAATATCCAGAATCTACAAAGAACTTAAACAAATTTACAAGAAAAAAATCAAACAACTCCATCAAAAAGTGGGCAAAGGATATGAACAGACACTTCTCAAAAGAAGACATTTATGCAGCCAAAAGACACATGAAAAAATGCTCATCATCACTGGCCATCAGAGAAATGCAAATCAAAACCACAATGAGATACCATCTCACACCAGTTTGAATGGTGATCATTAAAAAGTCAGGAAACAACAGGTGCTGGAGAGGATGTGGAGAAGTAGGAACACTTTTACACTGTTGGTGGGACTGTAAACTAGTTCAACCATTGTGGAAGACAGTGTGGCAATTCCTCAAGGATCTAGAACTAGAAATACCATTTGACCCAGCCATCCCATTATTGGGCACATACCCAAAGGATTATAAATCATGCTGCTATAAAGACACATGCACAGGTATGTTTATTGTGGCACTATTCACAATAGCAAAGACTTGGAATCAACCCAAATGTCCATCAATGATAGACTGGATTAAGACAATGTGGCACATATACACCATGGAATACTATGCAGCCATAAAAAAGGATGAGTTCATGTCCTTTGTAGGGACATGGATGAAGCTAGAAACCATCATTTTGAGCAAACTATCACAAGGACAGAAAACCAAACACGGCATGTTCTCACTCATAGGTGGGAACTGAACAATGAGAACACTTGGACACAGGGTGGTAAACGTCACACACCGGGGCCTTTAAGGGGGTGGGGGGAGGGGGAGGGATAGCATTAGGAGATATATATAATGTAAATGACGAGTTAACGGGTGCAGCACACCAACATGGCACATATATACATATGTAACAAACTTGCATGTTGTGCACATGTACTCTAGAATAATTAAAAAAAAGAAGTCCTCTTGGTGATTCAAATATTCATTAATGGTTTTGAGAATCACTGGCAATGAATCACATTCAGACATAAAGCACAATACCTGGCACAATGTAGAATCTAGCAGGGAAAATTAGGCTTTTGGGGAACTCTATCTTTTGCTGCGGTCAGCAAAGAGATTCATATATAATCTCCCATTATGCTACATCCCATCCATCATATAGAAAAGTGAAACATTATCCTATTTACACTATGGATCTATGCTGCCCCTTTCTAGGATATTTGCAATGTTTTTTAAAATGCTAGAGATAGTAATACCTATTGTCTTGTGCAGGAATTAATTCAAATCAACTACATTTTAGACTAGAGGCATTAGAGAAAGCTTCTGATTTAGATAACAGTTCTTTGTAGTTTCATAACACCCTGAATTGCAGTAGGGCATTTTCTAGATTTTCTTCTTTTTTCCACTGGGTGCTCCTTAATGCAATGTGTGCTCATCTCTTGGACCTCAGAGCCTAAAACCGTAAGTAGCAGGTAGAAGGTATTTAATATATATTACATGAATGAGTGAATGAACCCTATAAAATCAACTTTTTCACTTTATGATTATTTAGTAATGAAGTTTATAAATACTTCTGTAATAAACTCAGTCTTTGGAAGTCCCCCAATACAGATGCAGGTTGGAAAATAATAAGGCAATTGACATTAGCTAATACTATTACCAAAGTGTTCAGTCACTCTTTGCTGAAAAAATAAAACATTCTGGGGCTTCGGAGATTAGAAATATTTTACTAAACAGGATTATTATTCCTAATTATGCCCATTCTCTTCAAGATGAGCAGCTTCTTAGAAGTAATCGACCAAGAGTCAGAAAACACCACATATGACCAGGCATGGTGGCTCATGCCTGTAATCCCAGCACTTTGGAAGGCCGAGGTGGGCAGATCATGAGGTCAGGAGACCGAGCCCATCCTGGCCAACATAGTGAAACCCCATTTCTACTAAAATACAAAAAATTAACTGGACGTGGTTGTGGGCGCCTGTAGTCCCAGCTACTTGGGAGGCTGAGGAAGGAGAATCCCTTGAACCTGGGAGGTGGAGTTTGCCCTGAGCTGAGATTGCACCACTGTATTCCAGCCTGGCAACAGAGCGAGACTCCATCTCAAAAAAAAAAAAAAAAAGAAAAAAGAAAGAAAAAGAAAACACATATTAATGGAAGTTTAACTTTAATGTCAATGTTCTTAGGGCAGTAAGAAATAAGACAAATTAGCTGGAGACATTCAGCGGTCATTCTTTACTCCATATATTAGATGACATTCTCAAACAAATTCCAACATCTCATTAGTTAGATATGGCCACCACAACAACTTCTACAGTATTACTAACACACACCTACAACTCTTCTATTCACCCTCAAAGGGACAGAGAGGGACTTCAAAGACCAGGACACATTCTTTTCAAATCCACATTTTTAAATTGTAGAAAATAGAAAATAATCACTACCATAGGAAATTCGTAGATCTACAGAGTTTCATTGAGTATAATTTTAGAATACAATCTCACAAATTTGTATAACAAGTTCTCATTATTCACCTTCACTCTTAATACCAATTTTACTTTTTTTTTTACTATCAACAGAGCACTTTTAAACTCACAACACATGAATCTAAACCTATATAAAACAATGCCTTACTTTTTAATGATCAACATACTCATTACTCTTCACTATTCATGGATTCAATATTTTCCAGCCTCATGCCTACGAATTTTCCCATGTAATATGGAAAAATAAAATGGTCCCTGCAAAGGGACCCTTACAGCCAAACTATTCCCTAAATCCTACCCACTCTACCTGTAAGTATATCTCAAATTTGTTCTGCAAAGAAATGGTCCCTGCCCTGAAGGAGTTTAAAGTGTAAGAAAAGTCAAAATCCATGTCCCAATCCAATTTTCCTTTTCTGCTTCATGAAATTATATTTTATCTTTAAGTAATATAATTTGTGAATCTGCTTTCAATTTTATTGATACCCTCTTCTGATCCAATCCATGCCTGCAGGTACCATCCATGTGCTGATGGTTCACAATGTACACTTCACCTCTGCTGAGCTCCTGACTCATACAATCCACCTTCCACTGGACATGTCAGCATAGCTTTCAAAGCACTTCAAATTCAATATTCCTAAAACTTAACTTGTAATCTCCCCAAAAGCCTATTCCTGCTACTCAAATCTTTCCATATATAGTTTCCAAAGCAGTACACCTAGAACATTTTCTCAAACCTGACCACCCTCTTACCCTTTACAGCTAAACCATTTCCCAAATCCTGCCTATTCCAACTAATTTATACCTCGAATCTTCTACTTGACTCCATCTCCATTGCCACTGCACTAGCCCAACTCACTTTTGTCTCTTACCTCAATCACTGCAATAGTTACTTAATTGGCTCCACTGCCTATGATTGTATGTTGTAATCCAGGATCCTGGCATCTACATCCACAAACCTGATCATGTCATTCCCAAAGTCCGCACAGGGTCTCCTACGTCCCTTGGGAAAAGGTTTCTAGACCTTTAAAATAACCTCTAACCCTTGTTTGAAGTCTGAACAATTGACTCAGGTCTACAATGCCATATCTTTCTAGTTTCACCTCCTACCACTCACCTTTTCACCCTCTCTGTGCCAGCAAAACTGGCCTTCATTTTCCTAGCTAAACCATTTGTTTGTCTCATCTCAGGAGCTTCACCCATATCACTTCCTCTGACTATAATGCCTTCTCACATTTATTCCCCTCCAACCAGCTTTAACTTAAATAACACTTTTTTAAAGATACTCTGTCAGGTTGTATTTTTTTTTTTCAAAATGGTCACAGCACAGCAATATTTATAGTACCATTTGCTTTTCCAGAGCCTTGTACCTTGGCCATCAAGGGGTGGTGACTATTTCCCACCCAGTTGAACCTAGGCTAGTTTGGCACAGCACCAACCGGTAGAGTATGGTGGAAGTGGATGCCATGTGATGCCCAGGGCTAGGTCCCAAAATGGATGCGGCTTCCATGTGACTCTCTTTTAGGACACTCATCTTTGAAACTCATCCACAATGCTGTGAGAAATCTCAAACCACATGCAGAGGTCTTATATAGGTATTCTGGGTACTCTGGCCAGCAATCCTAGCTTAGATCCTAGCCAACAGCCAGTAGCAAATACTAGACAACTGAATAGATGTCCTCCAGAAGATTCCAGTCTTTTCCCTATAAATCTTCCCACTAAATCCGCAGACACCAGTCATCTCACTGTGCCCTATTTGGATTCTTTACTCACTGGATTTGTGAACATAATGGTGCTTGTCTGATGCTTGTTTGAAGTTAATTTGTTATGTCTCTCTAGTAGTTAGAAAAGATGTTTCATCCTTCTCTGAGATTATGTATCCTGCTGTCACAGGTATACATAGCTCTCAAAGTACTTTTAAGTATGTCTTTAACGTCTACATCCCCTTGTGGTTTGGAAGTTTGATGAGGCTATGGATTCTATCAGTTTTGTTCACTACTATATTCACAGTGTAGATGTTCTGTAAATTTGTGTTAAATTGTTGAATGAAACTCTGTTAGAGATAAGAAAGAAGAGCTTGACATTCAGAAATTGAAAGAGAGGCTAAAATGAGTAGCAAAGAAATAGAGTGGCTTTTCAATAAATCTTTTAGAAACAAATAAAGATAAGACATTCTACTTCTGTGCTTTGGAATTGCATTTCAGTGGTATTTGTATTTGTGAGATGGGAGGAAGCTGAGGCACAGGTAAGATGGGTTAACAGCATATATTTTGGCATAAAGCAGAGCCAAGACCCTAAAGCCACGGAAATTGAAGAAGAGATGAAAAACACCTTAGAAAGTAAAAAAAAAAAAAAAAAAAAAAAAAGTCACCCAAAGGTTTTGGAAAGTCAAATATTCAAGTAAGTAAAGAAATGAGAAAAGGTATGAAAGAACATAGAAAGTCAAAACCAATATCAGAACCCTGTTGTCAGTAACTCCAAGTAACAAAATCCAAAAAAGTATTCACAATTAGATAGAGAACAAGGCACAGAAACAAAAACCAAAGAACTTTTCTGACTGAGTACTGTCTTCAACAAAGAAAACAATTACAAATATTTCATTGAAATTGAAGTGGATAGAGGCCCTACCACTTTCCTTCATATGAATATAGTACATCAAAATTAATAGTATAGATTTCTTCTAATGTCAGATGGGAAAACCATATAGGTAAGTTCTCTAATGCCATTCTCTCGACAAGGACTAAGCTCTTCACAGCTGATTTTTTCTTTTGTTGAATTTTTCAACATTCTAATTCTCAAGATAGCCTTATTTTAAGCTCATAACTTTATGTTCAAGAAAACCTTGAATAAAGTTACTTGCATGACTCTTTAAAAATATCTGTGGGATTAAAAAATGGATAAGTAAACATCACAGATTCACTAGAAATCTGTAAAAGAAAATCAACATTTCTTCTGGACAAGAAAAGAGGGTAATAATAAGGTACTAATGTAGAAGAAAAGGCACAATCAGTTCTTTAAAGCTGCCTTCAAAACCAAGCACTTTGAGGTAATAAAATGCCTAGTCAAATAAGTTATCCTCAAAAGATGTCTACAGTGGATGGGAAAATGCCAGCTAAGCTTTGTTATAAACATATGTAAGATAGTATATTAAGCCAAAAGTAATCCAAATCTCATTTACAATCTAATTGGGTCTCAGCTATCAGCAAAACTCAGGAAACAGAGAGGACTTTGTAGGTTGACAATCCCTAAAGGCATCAATGCAATGTGCTCCTTTTAGCTGGTGCCTTTAAAAAAAAGTCTTCCAAAACTCCACACTGAAAAAAGTACCCAGGCATGCAGACTCGATTCAAAAACTAATTCCTGAACTGCCCAAATCAATCTCACAGCTCATCCAGTCTTGCTCTAATTTCCCAGCTACGAACCTCAGTATTTATTTCCCTTTAAGATACTGCTTTAGCTCTCAGATTTGATAACCTATGCAATCTCCAGGTAAAATCCCGCCCATCTGCCCACTGTAAAGCATCACCAACAAACTTCCCAATATTAATACCTATTCTGTCTAGATGTGGCCCTTTGCCCTGAGTAGTTTCCTACCAAAGGTAGAGTCCCTCACAGGGAGAACAGGCCATGAAATTCTGCTAGGTCAAAAGCAGAAATAAAGCGATGGGCATCATTATCAACACGCATTGTGGGGATATTCTGTCTCTCTTTATTTTAAGTGAGAATGCATCTCATTTCTATCATGAAAACATAAAGAAAATCAAGGTTTACCTTGCTGAAATTTAGTTGTATGCATACTTTCCATATAGCATCAATGCCGGGAAAATTATCTGAATTTTGCCTAATTTATGTTCATTTCACATGAATATAAATTTCACCATGTCCATTTCTCTGTGGATACAATTACATCACTGTATAATGTCCTTGGTTTAAATTACAGTATTGTCAAATTAGCAAGAACATAAACAGACAAGAACAGCAATAAAATGGTTAATATATATGCTTTCAAAGCTACAATATGTGCAATAATACGTACATTCTTTGAATATACTTGTATCACATAACTGAAAAACAACTAATGAATGTGAATGTCTTCTGTCTTTCCATGTCTTTTAACTCCCACTGCAGAACACCACTATCTAAATAACTGATCCTCATGGTTTCTAATTACAAAATGCCATATGCCTTTCTTTTAATTAAAATGATTTCCATATTATATCCAGTTTGCTTTATTAAGATGAAAACAAGGAAGAAAGCCTTATTGAATAGACTACAAGATGAGCATATAAGGCCTGACTTAATTCTACATGATATCACACATTCCTATGAACTATTTTTTTATTCTGCCAAGTATCAGCAAAATCTGTTGGAATCAGAGGAGTCTGTAATGGAATGCTACAATTCCCTTTACATCCACGGTGTCCCAAACACAACAAAGGCAGATTTTTAAAACAAGTTGAGACCATTTGCTCACGCCTTGTATATACAAGTTTTCTAACTTACTTCAATTTGGTGCACAGTATACTTCTGCCATCTACTGGAGCAATGAGATAGTATAGTTGCAATCATCTTGGCAGCAGTAAGAATCAAAACAGGAGCGATTAAACCAGATTAGCCAGACACTTTAAAGATAATTTCCTGGGGATCTAATACATAGAGAGGCAGAGAAAACCATCTCTTTGAAGATTTCTAGGACGGATACCTTCCAGCATTAGAGACCTTCACAGATGCTTGAGAACCTTTTCTTTGTGGTAAGATTCTCTTTCCAAAGGCTCTTTTGAGATGCAAGGATGTCTGTTTCAAATACGCAACACCATAGGGAGACAAAAGAAAACTGTCCAGATTTCCAAATGCTGGAGGCCTAGATAATAGAGGGGAAAATGCATAGTCCAATATAATTATTAACATTTTCAGTAAATATTAATTTTGGTTGAGGATTCATTCTGACTTTTTCCATAAACAACATCAATCTGGCAATTTCTCCTTTATTCGATAGAAGGTTCCCCATGGTCTTCTTATATTTAGAGAATACTTTTAAATTTTCACATTATTTTGAATTTATAATAGTATTTTGACCTAATTCTGTAAGTTCAGTATATCCAACCTTATACCATCATCTGAGAGGTAAAGAACAGAAGGGTAGAGAATTTGGAGCAGGCAGACTAGAAAATGCCCTCCTCCGAATACCACCTCCTAATATCCACACCCTGGGGCAATCCCCTTCTTTTGGCTGTAGACTGGAGCTGGACACTTGCCTCTGACAGTCTCTCCTCAGCCAAACTGTACTCAGGCTCCTCTGAATCCTCCTCCCAAATAGGCCTAGATTTGGGTCCCTTGCTTCACCTAATTTTAGCAAGAATTCTGTCAAGTTCTTTTAGCCAGAATCCTTCACTCCCATTATCTGATCACCCTCAATAACTGATCAATTCCTCATCCCCCACAACCCCACTGGTGATGTCTGATCACCTGGCCTGCCATTAGCAAGAACTTGTTAGGTTGGTTCAGCCCCCAATGCCCCCTTACCCCTGATGCTTCCTGTTAGTAATTTTCCATCCACAAACCCACCTGCCCACCCTGGTTCTTGACTATAAATCCCCACTTTCCCTTGTTGGATTTTGGAGTTGAGCCCAAACTCGCTCCTTTACTGCAAAACCCCATTGCAGTAGTCTCTATACCTATGGCGGGAGTCCTGAATAAAGTTGGCCTTGTTGTTTTTACAAACATCATGAGTAATCTTCTTTCTTTAAACACATCTAACAAATAAAAAAATACATAGCAAAGGTAATGAACAGAATTGTTACTTCTGAGATTAGGTTTTAAAAGACAACTCCTGTCTTGCTGCTCAGTCTCTCTTTATTCCTCTCCCCTCCCCTCCCCTGCCCTCCCGTCCCCTCCCCTCCCCTCCCCTCCCCTCTCCTCTCCTCTCCTCTTCTCTCCTTCTCTCTCTCTCTCTCTTCTTTCTCTCTTTCTCCTGCTTTCTGGCTCTCAGGCTCCCTCTGGCTGTTCTCACTTGCTCACTCTGATGAAGCCACACCTCCATGTTATGAGCTGCCTGGAGTGCCACGGAGCTGGCAAGGAACAGAAGGAGACCTCTGACCAACATTCAGTGAAAAATAAGGCCCTCTGTCCAACAACCCTCAGGAAACTGAATCCTGCCAAAAATCATGGGAGTGAGCTTATTAGAAGTGGATCCCTCCTCAGATAACCCTTGAGGTCACTGAGGCCCTGGCATCATCTTGATTGCATTGTGACGGACCATGAGCCAAAAAAAAACAGCTAGGTCACATCCAGACATCTCACGCATAGAAACCAGTACATCATAAATATGCTTTTCATTTTAAGCTAATAAGTTTTAGAGTAATCTGACATGCAACAGTAAATAACTATGGCAAGAATATTAAGTGATTTCCCATAGATACCATCCTGGCTACTTATAGAAAGGGAATGAACACTTTTCACATATCTCAATAAGTCAGTAATAGGTCTTATTTCAGCAAACCAAAAATTACGAAGGAATACGAGAAGAAACAAGTTATGCAATGCAACAAAAGTACTGAGCACCTAATTTTTAAAGACCTAGATCATAAGGAAGAAAAAGTCAGTATTGTAAGGGAATAACACAGATAAAGAGGAATTAAGAGAGCAATGATTAGTGCAATAGATCTAAATGATAATTTCAATGTAAAGAAGGCCCAAAGAAGAATATGTTCCCTGAATAAAGATCAGGAAAGACTTTGTTGGACAAATGGTTTTTGAAACAAGATTTCCAGGATTTTTAAATGTGGAGTGAAATCTGAATAATTATTAAAACATGAGAAAAGGTACAGAAGGGAGAAAATAAGACATATTTAAGAGTAAAGAATTCATACGTGCAGAGACACTAAGGAATAAATCTGCAACAGTCACATGGGTGATTAGAGAGCCCTGAATACCGGGTCTGAGAAGTGTGTATTTAATTCTTCAAGGATCCATTGAAATTTTTTGAGAGGTAGAAGGCTTTGATGAAATTAGTAACTTAAAAAATTTATTTTATACCAAAATGAAGGACAGGTCCAAATACGATTGGGAAAAATTGTAAAAGACTTTAAAATGGACCAAAAAGACTATTGGTGAATTCAGTAGCTAAACACACATGCTGAGAGCAGGGGTCAGTCATAGTAGGACCCATGGGCAAATCTGGCTGGAGGCATGCTTTTATATAGCCTCTGAAATACAAATGGTTTTTATATTTTTAAAACACTGTAAAACCAAACAAAAAAAAAAAGATGAATAAGTAATGGAGACTGTATGTGGTCCATAAGGCCTAAAATATTTATTATCTGATACTTTACTGAAAAGTTTGCAAACCTCTAGTCTAGAGGAACACCTTTCCAGTTTCTAAATCTAAGGGTTTTGCACCTTTCATAGTCTTTTGAGCTGCTTAGAAACTCTGCAAGTTCTTGATAACTGATAACAGTGCAAAAAGTTCCTGCCTATAAGCATGCAAATAATTTCTGTCTGATGGAGAGACATTTTATTTCTTTCCCTTATCTCAAGATCCCCGACCCTTGTAGAAAAAGAGTCAGCTTTACTTCAATCTGTAAAATCATTTCCTGACCTATATGTTTCTGCTTTTTGAATTATCGTTTGAACTAGTTGTATAACATCTAACTGGTTACCTCATTAATTCATGAGTTAGATAAAAGCTTTGACATGTGTTCATTTTATATTTTTTATGAGAGTCAGGATTTGGCCTTTTTACAAATTTATCTTCTAACGATAGAGGAAAAAAGATGATAAATCAGAGCCAAGCAAAGCCATCTCTGAGACCCACATGTCTTAATGTGGTATCATTAAACGCCATTGAGCTCTGGGTACCTCTAGTTGATTAAGTTCAGTGCATTAGTTCATTTTCACACTGCTGTAAAGAACTACGTGAGATGGGGTAATTTATAAACAAAAGAGGATTAATAAACTCACAGTTCTGCATAGCTGGGGAGGCCTTAGGAAACTTACAATCATGGCAGAAGGCGAAGAGAATGCAAGGCACATCTTACATGGCGGCAGGGGAGACAGAGAGCGAGGGGGAAACTGTCAAACACTCTTAAGCCATCAGATCCCCTGAGAACTCACTCACTATCATGAGAACAGCATGGGGGAAACCGCCCCATGTTCCAATTACCTCCCACCAGATCCTTCCTTCCACAGGTGGAGATTACAACTTGAGCTGAGATTTGCGTGGCGACACATATCAAACCATATCATTCAGCAACTCCTCAAATATATATGGAGGGTAGAGGTTAGGCAAGTAACCCAGTGCTCTAATTATTGATCTTGAAGATATTGGTGGCTGTTATGAGATGAGGACTAAACAAAGTGACGCAACATAGAGTAGCTCACTCCTACTCCTCACCCAGGAGGTAACTAGATAAGAAGGAGGATCCAATCCAGCAAAATTTCTAACATAGAACCTGGTTGAGGCAAAGAGAGGCAAAGAAGGGGAGGTCAAATCTTCTCCCTGGGCACTTCAGCAAAGCCCCTCATCGGAGTCCTTTTCCAAGAATAATCATAGCACAAATATAGGGGTTCTCACTTTCTGAAAAGGCCCTGTATTTTCTTTCCTCCTTCATTCTCTAAGCACTTCCTTTTTTTCATTATTTAGGTAATTTCTTTTTTTTAAATTATACTTTAAGTTTTAGGGTACATGTGCACAACGTGCAGGTTAGTTACATATGTATACATGTGCCATGTTGGTGTGCTGCACCCGTTAACTCATCATTTAACATTAGGTATATCTCCTAATGCTATCCCTCCCCCCTCCCGCCACCCCACAACAGGCCCCAGTGTGTGTTGTTCCCCTTCCTGTGTCCATGTGTTCTCATTGTGCAATTCCCACCTATGAGTGAGAGCAAGCGGTGTTTGGTTTTTTGTCCTTGCAATAGTTTGCTGAGAATGATGGTTTCCAGGTTCATCCATGTCCCTACAAAGGACATGAACTCATCATTTTTTATGGCTGCATAGTATTCCATGGTGTATATGTGCCACATTTTCTTAATCCAGTCTATCATATGCCTGCCTCCCACTAACGTTCTTCCTTCGTTCTTACCTCTTTTAGCACTCATTCTTCTCCTATGAGAAAACTGCTGTTCAAAAATCATTTCTACTAGTTCGTTCTCAATTGACTTTGACAGCTCATTAGAATCAATTCAACAAACAACTATCTTTGCTCTACAGCAGGAAGAGTTTAATTCTTCAATCCTGAGTGAATGATACTTGGGTGTTTGGAGGTGATGGTGGTGGTGAGATATTTAAATTTTCAATGATGGAAGATGTTTATTTTCTCTATTGCAAAGTCTGAATTAACTTACCCGGTTCCTCGTGGGTAATGGCAATGGGATTAGGGGAAAACAAGGTGGATAAAGAAGGCATTATAAAGGTAGAATATTTGTCAACTGACATTTCCTAGGATATACAGGATGAAATGTAAAATTTGTTAACATATACTCCAGTGCATCAAGCCTGGGCTGTTGGTAGCCACTTTAACAAACATGGGGAATTCCAGTCAGGAAACCAGTTTGAAGGAGAGTGGTTAGAAAGATTATGATGTGACTTTTGTCAATGTAAAGACCAATTATAGTTGTAGTGGTCATTATAGAAAAATTTCAAAATAGTGATTGGCCATACATTCATTCTACAATGCACAATCTCTCTGTTGAAATTTCTGTAATTACTTGTAAAAGTAAGTCTCATCTATGCCACAGATAAATCATGTGTCTCTGTGTACTGACTTTGCCTTTTTCACTTAATTCTAGAGTGGAAAATTTGGTATACTTTTATCCCTGGATTTGAAGAACAACAAAGTATATGTTGTTATATTTATGGCATTTAGAATAAAATTATGAAATATTTCCCATTTTTAAGAAAACTACTTCATTTAACAAAATGTGATCTTCTATTAATCTCTGGGGGTTGTAATAGCATCATTGGTAGTTATTAAGTGGACCCGTGGATAATTCATCTCCAAAAGAGCAGCCTGTAACTTAAGGAGATTTTTTTTTGTTGGAAACTAACATCTGTGGGTAGACAGAAAAAGTCATACTTCATTGACTTCATCAGACTAAACGTATATTGCTTTGTTGCAATCCAGATGTTGAAGAAAGAGAAGATCTCATGATTTCTAACTTATTTTTCCAATATTGGTTATTTTGCTTTTCATCTGTGGCCAGAAAGGAGGGTCAGAATCCTAAATTTTTAAATACCTCTAAAAATAAATGAGTTAGTTAACATTTTTTAAACCTATTTAAAAGCCTGCTTTTATCTAGGTTAATGAACCAAAAAAAATAAAAAAATAAAAATCTGTTTCAGAGTTAAGCATCCCCTCTTCCCTGCTTTCCTTCACTATTTTGTACAAAATACAACTTGATTTGTAAAAATGGTATTAAGTTTTTTGAGAAAATATACTGTATTCTGCCTCTTGGCAAAACTATGGAAATCAGCACTCAGTCAAATGAAGAATATAAATTCCAGTTTCAGGACTTGCTTTAGGCAAAATGTGTCAAGCAGGCTATCTCTCCTTGCTTTTATGGAGACCAGGGTGAGAATCTGACAGGGTAGAAACCAGAAAACACATTACCCTCAAACTGAAATATTGTTTAGGCCCCAGCCACGTCCTATTTCCTCTAAGAAAACTAAGACCCACACACTGTGTGACAGTTAATTCCTTTCAAATAAATTTGTTTTTGTGCAGATCCAGTGGTGAACAAAAGATTAATCTTCAAGCAAAGTACCAAGAAAAAGCATAAACATACCGATTTTCTACCTGTTCTAATGAATTAAACATTCCTTTTTGGAGTAGAACAAAGCCGTCACTGCTTTTGAATGGCCTGGAGCTAATATAGTGATGTACACTTGATTTTTTTTTGCTAAGTTGATTTATTACAGTTCTTCATCATGACTGAGAACCCACTTCAAATTAAATTATTTCACTACTGTCAAAACTAGAATGTACCAAACAATATTTAAAATGCAAAAAATTTTCAGATGAATCCTTAATGAGTCATTATACTTTTTTTTAATAAAAACTTTGTATGCTGAAGCAAAGTACTAAGGATCTCCTTGGAGTTTTGCATGCAATTAATCACGCATGTATATTCTGAGAAAATAAATCTATGCAGTTTTTAAAATTATAGTATTGAAGAGTCTTTTTTTTAATTGTGTGCCATGGTAATTAAAATGTAAATTGTCAGTAGAACACACAAATCTTTTGAGTACTAAATCTAACTATTTCACATGTAGATACACAGGTCAAAGCCTTTTAAATTTCTAAGCTGGCTAATCTTCATTAACCATGCTGAGATTTCTGTCCTATGCAAAAGAATGTTTTATGCTACAGAAACAAATATATAGTGCAGCAGAGGCACGTCTTACATTCAAAATCAAACATATTAAACATGAGGTTTTAATTATCTGGCTTATATGATCAAAATCAATTAATGAACACATTTTAATATTATCAAAAATCAATAAATGAACACATCTGAATGAACATATTTTGATTTGTCTGCTTTTTTTAATTTGAAGTGTTCTGGTTGCTCAGGCAAATAAAAATGTTGACTAATTTACTTATGAATTAATTATCTGTTTAGAATAACAGTTGAACAAATACAAATATTTCGAGATTACAGAAAATGTAGACATTTGGTTTTTGATAAGTTTGGGAGAGTAGAAAAACATGAAATTTTGTTTGACAACACTTCCTTCAAATTTGAGCTTTGTCATTATTGGTAACTGGTCTCTCTGAGCCTCAATTTTCTCACCTCTAAAATGGGGCAATAATATAGACACTGCAGACTTGACAGGATTGAAAGAGCTGGTCAAATAAAGGAATAATCATATGTAGTAAATTGTTCAATGGACAGCAATTTCTTCTTTGCTGATTACTACCATGTGGAAGTTTGACATGAAATGACCTAGATCTACATACTTACATTTGAGAGAAATATTTCTTTTGGCTGCTGGCTTACATTCTTGGAAATAAAATAGTTTTCAGCAGGTCAGGGAACATTTCAACTTCATTTACTTCCTTATTTTTTCTAGAGCTGACTATGTAATTACAAAATGCTGGTGCATTCATGTTGTCACCTTGCATTTCCTGACACTGACCAGCATGGCCCACGACATGTCCACTCACCAGACAAATAATTTTAAGCAAATTTATTTGGCTGTGAATTAACATTTATCAATTACTATGTGATGGCTAAAGCTAGAATTATAAGATCACCTCTCTCACAATTCGCTATAATTACTGGAACAAAAAAATTAAACATCTCTATAATTTGGTATGTCAGAATTAAAATAAGTAATCACATATCCCCAAATTCTTTAGTACAAACAGTTTATGCTTAGTTGAGCTAAAAATAGAGAAGCCTGGTGCCTTAGCAGGAAGGTCATGGAGCCAACAGGCAAAAGATGAGTTTCCAGCCCATCCTCTCAAGCTGCTAGATTCTGTGTATGTCATTTAGAACCTCTGATTTGCAGTTTCTTCATCTACACAACAAACAACAAAGCTACCTATCCTGTCTACCTCACATGGTTATTAAGAAGATAAAATATGAAAGCAATTTTAGATTTCCAAACTGCTATACAGAAGTGTAAAGCAATACTTGATTTCAGTTAACTCAGCATGAAACTTTACTGTAGAGAATATATACATCTGTTCCCATTCCAGAAAAAAAAGAACAACACAATATTTGGCCTACATGGCCAAAATATCAGCAAGAACTACATTTTGCCAAAAAACAAATTTGCACTGGGAGGAAATGAATATCTCCTTCTGTCCATTGCCTAGCATACTTATATGCTTTAAACATGTTTACCTCACGATGAAAGAGAGTAAAGCAAAATGCTAGAAAAAGAAGGAAAGATTTTTCTGCAAAAGAAAAGTAAAATGCAAAGTGAATCATGAAGGAGCAAATTGAGACCAATTTTTCCACTTTGATGAGAACCGACCTTGGTCATTAGCACATCAGATTAGGAAGATTTGATTCTTGAAAAATGCTCACCACTGTTTTCCAGGCCAGCAATATCTAAGATTTAGCCACAAGGCTTTAAGTAGGATAATCCAGACTACCTTGCTAGTAGCAAAAATAAAGACTTGATCCTAACAACAACAACAACAAAAAAACATCTAATTTCACAATTTGAGGAGTGTTATATTTAGGAGTAAATCCATACAATTTGTTCATCCCATAAATGTAAAAATCCTAAATATTACTCAAATTGAAAGATAACACTAATAGTTGTTTGGAAATAAATTGTACATATGGTAATAGAATTTTGAAAAGACATTCATTTCTAGCCAAATTTACATCCAGAAAGTTATGTTCTAGTTTCTCATATAGGATAAGTGTAATAAAAATATTATTTCATAATTAAGATCATATGTTCAAAAGAATCTAATAAAATATAAACCAAATCAGATTAGAGACTAGTCTTTAAATGCCTAAAATAAATCGCAGATCTCCGAATAGATGTAGGAAATTAAAGAATGGAAGAGGCTAACATCTCTTGTCCACTTACTATCTATGTACCTGGCTCAGTGCTTTGGATTTTGTAGACATTTCACCTCACTCACACACTCACACACTTACAAATCTATACAGTATTTGTAATTATTCCCTATTAAAGATGAAGAAACTGAGGTTTCAGAAGTTTGCCAAATGTTATATAGATGGTAACTTATGGTGTCAGAATTTACATATCAAAAAGCCCATCTGTGGTCTTTAATTTACTGCTTTTTCATGACTAGGTTTTCATTTCAACCTTTCATTGCTAAATAGGTTTAACTCTATGACATACTCTACTACAAATGCAAAGCTTTTTTTTCAAGGTTTATCAGAGGCCAATTAGACTATTAAAAAATAAGATGACCCAGAATGCAAAATATTTCTACAAATATACAATAAATAAAAATTAAATTAGCAAAGTAACAATTATTCTAGCAATTGTTAAAGTCACATGACTTAAAAGGTTTGACATATCCAACAAAATTACATAACCACTCTGTTATTTTCAATTCTGTTGATCCCTTTGATTTTACAATACTCTGCTGTCGTTTTCTGAAGGTCAAATAATTTATACCTCCAACTGCCATAATTGCATAGGAGTCCCTCCAAGTAAGGCCAAGCTAGTTAACCAGGAATCTTCACTCTGGGACAGTAGCTAGAAAAGATCTTCTAACATCTCTTTAACTAAAATGCTTATTTCAGTTAAGGAAGAAAAGAAAGTGCCTACTTCCTAAGACCCAAGGATTAAACAATCTCATCCTTTCATTCATCATTACTGACCCAGTTTTAGGACTTCATGTACTTAGAATATGGACTTCTGTTCATCTCTATCTAAGAGGCTTAGATGACTTGAAACCAATGTTGACTGTTTTAATTGAATTAATGGTATCAAATCAAACACTTAGGTTTGGGCACTGATTCCTGACTATTTTCAGAGACTCTTATTTATTGGAAATTGACAGACCCCAGGCAGGATTCAAGCTAACCAGTGGTCCCAGACCTTATACTTCTAAGTGGGAACTGCATAATAACAATCTAAAATATATAACATATAGAAACAAATCTGGGACAAAGTCTAAGGAAACTGTTAGAGGAAGCTGAAAAAATGGTAAAGAAACTGTTCCAGAAAGCTGAAAAAATGAACACTTATATTATCTACTGGTAAAACAATTAGTAAAACTGCCTTATGTGATAACATAGAAGACAGACGCACTAATGAGCTATTGGACTTGGCAAATAAATCACCAGGCAAGATATTAAAAATACGGTTGTATTTATCTGTGTATTATAAAGTAATACAAGAAAGAGATAAGTTCAAGGATCAGGGTGTGAGGAGTGGGAATGCCCAATTTGAAACTAGAATTTCGAGTAAATAGAGGGGCAAAATTGGCACTACAAAATAGAACTGTCTTTTATTTCCAATCCTAAGCCAAGAAAAAAATTCTCAAAGAACTGAACTCAGGAAATAGACCAAAGCAAGGGTGTAGCTGTAGGTCCTCCATCAAGATTAAGGCAGCAACTAGAGAAAAAGAAAAAAAAAAAGATTTCTAAGAATCTTGAGAGTATTGTTCCATAGCAGCCTGTTCCTCCCAAAGTAGTGTGATTAAGTATAGAAAAATACAAACACCTACAAGAGAACTATGCATTTTAGCAAAACACATGAAATAAATTCAAATGCAAAAACTACCCACAGAGGTTTTAGTTGTATTGCAAAAAGCACTGCCAAACTGATTAAATGAGAGCAGTGATATGAAATGCAAAACAACTCAGGGTGCCAACTTTGTAAAAAGAGGAACCAGGCTAAAAAAGCTACTTCCCACCAAAAAAAAAAAAAAAAAAAAAAAAAAAAAAAAAAAAAAAAAAAAAAAAAAAACACCATGGTTTTTCAAAGAGTAGAAAGAAGAGAATAGAAGAGACAAGACACCTCAGAGGGCAGAGCCAAAGTCATAAGGAAAAACAGACTGGAAATCCACTCTCAAGGAGCAGAACTGAGTCCTCATCAAGGAACATTTTCTGACTCCAGAGGGATTTTGGAATACCATTGTTTACAAAGGACTATGAGATCCTCCGAGGAAAAAGGGACGGGTTTTTTTTTTTATTTTATTAAAAAGTAATATGTAGATTGGGGAGATACAGCCTCTGATGTAAAACAAAAGCAAACCCTGAGGAGGAGACAGGGAGTAGGAGATACTAAAGGCAAACACCTCAGGCAGGGGAGGGCAATAGAAGAACGAGAGTCTTGATTGGATGACCTTTAAGCCCAAAGTCACCAGTCTCTCTTAGTTGTCTGGTTCTAGATGTTCTGTTGGTGGTCAGCTGGGGAATTTTCAGCTGTGGTCTATCTTAGCACTGACAGGAACTAGTAACTACTTTGGCTTGACTGTAGGAAATGAGGTTCTGAGACACTTTTACAGTAACTTTCTGAGAACAAAGGACACGACTGCTCTCTCACTCTGTCATGGCTGCCTCTTTCTGTTTTAACTTTGAGACCCTGATTAGCCACAGGAGTTCATTTTGTCTGTCCAGAGGCATATGTGGACATCTCCCCAGCTTTTGGTCAAAACCTGCTCTAGGCAGTGTTCATAACCAGCTTAAACTTTTGTCTCATATCATCAGAGTGGTGTGGCTGTCTCTTCTGGATCTATCTGTTTTCTTAGTGGGACTCATGTAGCTGAGCGACTCATGGCCAATTTGAACAACTTGGGCCAAGCAGGGTGAAATAGTAGGCAGGCTGGCCAGGTGCAGTGGCTCACGCCTGTAATCCCAGCACTTTAGGAGGCCGATCATTTGAGGTCAGGAGTTTGAGACCAGCCTGGCCAAAATGGCTAAACCTCATCTCTACTAAAAATACAAAAAAAAAAAAAAAAAATTAGCCAGGTGTGGTGGCACAGGCCTGTAATCCCAGCTACTCAGGAGGCTGAGGCATGATAATCGCTTGAACCCAGGGTGCAGAGGTTGCAGTGAGCTGAGATTGCACCACTGCACTGCAGCCTGGGACTCTGTCAAAAAAAAAAAAAGGAAGAAAGAAGGGAAGGGAAAGGGAAAGGAAAAGGAAAAGGGAAAGGAAAGGAAAGGAAAGGAAAGGAAAGGAAAGGAAAGGAAAGGAAAGGAAAGAAAGGGAAGGAAAGGAAAGGAAAGGAAAGGGAAGGAAAGGAAAGGAAAGGGAAGGGAAGGGAAGGGAAGTAAATAGGCAGGCATTTTTTATCTTCGTCAGATCTTTAGAGATATTTATCAGTGTCTCTTATTGATGTTTGATGGTACCAGTTAAGTCTCTGGACAAGACCTGGAAGTGTCTTGTAATTAAAATCTGGGTTGGAGAACTGATAACATATTTGTTACAGCAGGTAAGAACAATTTTAAAGAGGAGCTAGGCATCTAGAAATGACACAGATATTCTATGATTAACTATTACTTAATTTAATATAGCATCACTTTAAGAGTTTAAATAACTGACAAGAATTTCAAAACTGTGACGCAGATATTCTTTTTCGTGTTTTTTTTTCTATTTTCCTGGGTTTTAAGTTCCCATGGGGCATCCAAGGGTGGCTATGAAGGACAGGGCCTAAGTCCTGAATTTGCATACCAGACATAGAGCTCAGGACCAAGGACAGAGCTGTGAAAGCAATGTCAGGAGGATCTAACCTGTCCACAAGTGGCCAGGAGTGAAAGCTGTGCCAGGAAGGATGGGGCCATATTAGACTTGGCTTTGTCTTGTAGCTTGTGTTTCAGGCACTAGGAACATGTCCCTAGGCCTCACCATGGCACCTTACCCAGACCCCAGATTCTAGAGGCTCAAAGTCAAACACAAGCTCATAGCAACATATGTGTAAGGCTTTGAGGAAGCCCAGTAGCCAGTCCTTACAGCTTTAACTCACAGACAAATAAAGCAATTATCAAAAATACTACAGAAGTGACAGTTATGATTCTAAGACATCTAGGAGAAACAGCCTAAACCTTTCTGAAAAGTAGGCCCAGGCAAAAATGTCTGAATTCTATTCAATATGACAATTCTGAAGACATTATAATTTTATTTTGGCAACAACTTTAAACTAGTTTTATTTACCAAAGATTACTAAAGTCACATGAGCTAAAACGCATTGAGTTAGTTTTTAAATTTTTTGGTAAAATATTTTATTTATGTGCTTATTTTAAGCCAATTAATTAGAGGTTTTAAAATGTATTTTGGTATGGAAATACTACATATACATAACACATAAAAACATATAGAGATAGAGAAATGAACATAGAAATAGATGTTATAGCTTTATAAGATTTTCTTATCATGTCTCAATATTTTTGTCTACCAGACTATCAAGCCCTAGACAATTGTTAGCTAGGCAATCTGAAATTTTTACTTAAACACATACACAAATATTCATTGTGGCACTATTCACAATAGCAAAGACATGGAATGCTCATCAATGACAGATTGGATAAAGAAAATGTGGTACATATACACTATGGAATACTATGCAGCCATAAAAAATAAGATCATATCTTTTGTGGGAATATGGATGGAGCTGGAGGCTATTAACTTTAACAAACTAATGCAGGAACAGAAAACCAAATACTGCATGTCCTCACTTAAAAGTGGGAGCTAAATTATAAGAAATTTAGAACACAAGGAAGGAAACAACAGACACTGGAGCCTACTTAAGTTTGAAGGGTGAGAGGAGAGAGAAGCAGAAAAGATAAGGTACTTGCCTTAATACCTGGGTGATGAAATAATCTGTACGACAAACCCCATGACACAAGTTAACCTATGTAACAAACCTTCACATGTACCCCCAAACCTAAAATAAAAGGGTATTTTTTTGTTTTTAAATGAGATCAATTTAAAAATCTAAAAAAAAAATCCCAGCATTCCACTCAGTTCTAATTTAAATTTTCTATAAGTCATTACGAGGTTATGAAGATTAAATAATATCAAATGCTTATGTGATACTGACTAGTGTGCACCCATTGCTCTAACTGCCTTACATATTTATATTTGTTTCATCTTCACTGCAACTCTGTGGGGCAGTTTCTCCTACTGCTTTCATTTATTTGATTGTTGAGCAACTGTATACAACACAGGGCTAGTATCTTGTCTCAGAAAAAAAATGAGATTGCATTCTAGTCAGTCTGCCTCTCATTGAATAAAATAATAGCTTGAAAATTAAACTTGCACCACTGACACACACAAAAAAAACAAGACATGACTTTTAGGTTAAAATTTACATTTCAGAGACAGAACTTAGATATAAACACCATTATTTGCTGAGACAAGAGAAAGGCTTAACCATAATGCCCAGTCAAAATAAGATTGTCAGGAAAAGTATCTCAGACTAAGGTAAGGTTTTTATGTAGATTTTAAGCCAATGTCTTTTTTATCATAAAAGTCTGTAGAGGCTTATGTGTATAAATGGAGCTTTTTAATAGATGTAATTTTTTTTTACAACAAGTTTTAAAATTGTCAGCTAAATTTTAAAGTACCTTTGAGAGTAATCTAATTAGATAGGTAGTCTTTTTAACTTAGCTTTGTTTTTTTTTTTAATTAGATTACTGGCTTCAGGGTAGAGTTCTTTAATAGGGCAAAGAAAGTATTTTCAGTTTTCAGGTCCTAATATTTAAGGAAGGCAGTGTATCTAGATCTTTAAAAACCAAGGATCTCATTTTTAGACTGAATTCCAGTCCCTGAGAAGAGAAAAATGCCATGAGAATGGATCGTACCCAGTTTTACAGTGTACCTCACTGTAAAGACATTCCCCGAGGCCGCTGGTGACCCAACAACAGTCAGCCCACTCTATGATCAGCCCACCCCCCATGGGATTCTTATTTCTCGGTGGTGACCACCCTCATAGCCTCTAAGTGTTCAAACCTGTCTTTTTATCTAAACATGCAAAGAAATTGTATTAACAACCATATATTGTAACCACTGTCAACTACCTCTAAATCTGTAGCCCTTGCCAATGACCCATTAGTGGTTGTTTTCATAGTAGAAAGTAATCTCTAGTACCCCTAAAAGCTAAAGAGATGAGGCAACATAATGTAAAAGAAAGCAGATCTTTAGACTTGTAAATCACCTCTCCGCTACTCCTTAGGCTCCACAAGAAGACAGAAGGCCCCAAAAAGGGGATGAGTGGTGCCTTTTTTATGTTTCTTAAATAGTCTGAGCTACTAGAAGTCTCCTCTAGATGTCTTTATGTGGTGCCAAAGACAGTAAATAGGAAAGAGGATCTTGATTATCAGCTTCTAGTTAAGCTGACCTCTAACCATAAGGTTGTTTTAAAAAAAACTTTTTAAATTTTTTATTATTGGATTTTAGCTGGAACAAACAGCTGATATTCCTGACTTGCGGATTTTTTTTAACCAGAGTTACCTTTCCAAGTGACTTCTAAAAACAATAAGGCTTAACCAGGGTTATGACTTAATCAAGGACACATAAAGTATCTCTAAAGAGGTGGAAATAAGTCCTCACAAGATTCAGAACCACCTCAAAGATAACTCAAAGAAAGTAAAGATTCCTTAAATGGACTACAACTCACATTTCTGTCTGGCCTTATATTTTAGGATCTCAGTTCTTCAGCTGAGCCCCTATGCATGAAGGCCCAAAAGCTCTGTAAACCCTGCAGAGAAAAAAAAAAAAAAAAGACAAGAAACTAAAAGCTGTCTATAAAGGGAAAAGGGTAAATAACAAAAAGGTACCCCAGAAGGTTAACAGTCTTATAAATAATTTAAAACAAATGGGATCAATTCCCTGACCTAGAATCAAACCTGTACCACAGTCATGTAAGCACAGAATCTTAGTCACTAGAAAACAGGATTTTTTTTTTTTTGAGACAGTCTCACTCTGTCACCCAGGCTGGAGTGCTGTAGCATGATCTCAGCTCACTTCAACCTCCGCCTCCCGGGTTCAAGAAATTCTCCTGTCTCAGCCTCCCGATTAGCTGGGACTACAGGTGCATGCCACCACACCCAGCTAATTTTTTCTATTTTTAGTAGAGACGGGATTTCACCATGTTAGCAAAGATGATCTCAATCTCCTGACCTCGTGATCCACCTGCCTCGGCCTCCCAAAGTGCTGGGCTTACAGGCGTGAGCCACCGCGACCAGCCAGGGTGTTTTTTAAGAAATCTTGTAGGGGATCCAAAGCAGGCAATTTGAGAAAGAGATGTTTCCTTGAGAGGTCATAAAAGAGGCAATTCCAAGGATACACACACACACACACACACACACACACACACACACACACAAAATATACTCTCAGAAATAGGTCGAGATAGCTAAAGACTCTTGTCACCACGGACAACAGTTAAGGATCATGTCTGTGAATATGCTGTCTCTGGTGACCCAAACATTTGTAGGAGGCCACCAGTTAAAGACCTGTTCATCTGTGATGCCAAGAAGGCCCTCCTGAGATTGGACTTTCCCATGACTTACCAGGTAGCAAGAGTTGAGATGACAAAAATTCCCTGAGAATGGGATATCTTTAGACAAACTCCCTTGAGAGCAAAAAAATGTAGATTAGAACTGTAAAACTGACCAGGCTGCAGAGCCAGCTAGAGCAATGAACTTACAGGGGTTTTAGGTCCATGTTCTACCCTCTGGTACCCTTCTTTAGGACAGAACAACACCGAAAGACAAAAATAAAGGAAAAGACAATTTTGGGAAGGAAAAGGAATCAAGTAATATGAATATTTATAAGAAAAAATACTAAAAGCACACCAGAGTTGCTACACCCAAGACCAGTCACAATAATCCTTTCTTTCTCATGAATCAAGATTTTGCAGGCCAGGCACGGTGGCTCATGTCTATAATCCCAGCATT
Source organism: Homo sapiens (assembly GCF_000001405.40). Classification (NCBI taxonomy): domain Eukaryota; kingdom Metazoa; phylum Chordata; class Mammalia; order Primates; family Hominidae; genus Homo; species Homo sapiens. Next base: position 91,062,447 of record NC_000013.11, read on the forward strand.
CTGAGAGACCAAGAAGGGCAGATCACCTGAAGTAAGGAGTTCAAGACCAGTCTAGCAAACATAGTGAAACCCGATCTCTACTAAAAATACAAAAAAATTAGCCAGGTGAGTGGCACGTCCATGTAATTCCAGATACTCAGGAGGCTGAGGCAGGAGAATTGCTTAAACCCAGGAGGCAGAGGTTGCAATGAGCCAAGATCGGGCCACTGCACTCCAGGCTAGGCAACAGAGTGAGACTTGGTCAAAAAAAAAAAAAACAGTTTTGCAGAGGAGACAGTGATTTTTTTTTAATCATAAATAATCTTTACCTTTCTGTTGGCTTCTCAAGTCCTGGCTTCTAGAAAAGCAGAGTGTCTTTGGTGTCTTGCTTACTGTGTCAAAGCTGCAGGGCCCAAAGGAAGGCTTTCCTTTTGCCCTCTGAAGTTTTGTTGATAAATTAAGTCACAAAGGAGGTGAATAGAAGAAATGGTATAGGAATGTATTAATGTGCTCTTGAGAGAGAACCACAGAGTAATTACCTGCTTCTTGAAAAATGAAAAGTCTCGTGGAAAATATCTTACCCCTTCATCAAGGAGTGAGAACAACTAGCTGAATGAAACAGGACTGTCAACCACGTGGAAGGCTCAAGACTCCAGAGAGACTCACCCAGGCGTAACTGTGGAGGAGCCGGAAGGCCTCAAGGGCTGGTGTTGGTACCAAGGGGCCAGGTCCCTGCAATGTTCCAGACAGAGAAGGTTATGGTGAGAAGGGAAAAGTGGAGGCAGAATATGAGTAGGGGGCGGGGAAATACAGGGATTACAGGGATTCCTGTTTTAGGATCTAAAAGCCTTTTTTATTTTATTTTATTTTATTTTATTATTTTATTTTGAGACAGAGTTTCACTCTGTTGCCCAGGCTGGAGTGCAGTGGTATGATCTTGGCTCACTGTAACCTCCACCTCCCGGGTTCAAGCAATTCTCCTGCCTCAGCCTCCCGAGTAGCTGGGATTACAGGCATGTGCCACCATGCCCAGCTAATTTTTGTATTTTTAGTAGAGACGGCATTTTGCCATGTTGGCCAGGCTGGTCTCAAACTCCTGAACTCAGGTGATGCACCTACCTACGCCTCCCAAAATGCTGGGATTACAGGCGTGAGCCACCATGCCCAACCTTGAGAGCTTTTCAAGTTTTTGGACACAACAGTTAAGTCTTCAGATTAGTCTCCTTTAAAAATGTAGGGATTCTCATTTGCATTTGGAGTTTTCAAAAGTTTTGATTAAAGGAAAGTCTGTTAGTATCTTTGAGAGGTCTGGACCCCTCTTTGTTTCATTGTGCACATAGATAGTTTAATTTAGATGTGTCTCTTGGGTCAATTTTTATCCAGCCTTAATCTTTAAATGTTACGTTTGAAAAACCATCAAAGTACCTGATGGTGTTTGATCAGAGACTGAGCCACTGAGCTACCTGATGACAGCTGTCAGAAGCCATTCTCGTAGAACCTAGATTTCCCACAGCATGCACGTTATGAAGGCATCCGTCGAGTGCAATCGAAGTGTGAGTATCTGCAAAATTGAATGTGAACATACCTCGCCAAGACTGAGTGTACCCCTCAATGTGCAAGCATATCCCACAAATGGGTACCCTGTGGAGCCTGATGGGCAGGCTTCCTAAAGAAAATGAAGTCTCCAAGTCCTCATCCTAAAAACGGGAGATCTGGGATCCAAGAGGGCTTACCTGATTCCTACCCAGTGCAGCTGTGAAGGTGGCTGAGCTCAAAGAACTCTCACAGGTGCCAATGCATTGGTCCAGGTGGCACAGAAAAGGAGCTTGGGGTCCCCTTCAGATCCCATCCTCACCTCATCATCAAAAAATATTCATAACATAGAGCCAGATGAGGTGGCTCACATCTGTAATCCCAGCATTGCGGGCTGGTTGCTTGAGGCCAGGAATTTGAAACCAGCCTAGGCAACATAGCAGGACCCCTTCTCTCCAAAAAAAAAAAAAAAAAAAAAAAAGTTTAGAAATTAGCCAGGTGTTGTGGCTCATGCCTGTAATCTCAGCAACTTGGGGAGTTGAGGCAGGAAGACCATGCGAGGCCAGGAATTTGAGGCTGCTGAGCTACGATTTCGTCACTGCACTCCAGCCTGGACAACCTGAGAGCAAGACCCTGTCTCAGAAAAAAAGAAAGAAATTTTAACAAAAGACCACAAGATTTGTGAAAGAAAAAAGGGAGAGTTTCGTTTAAAAAAAATTATCTATAGACTGGGGAGACATAGCCCTTGGTGTAAAATACAAGTGTGGTCTGAGGGTTCAGGGAATAAAAGATTATAAAGGCAAAAACCTCAGGGCAAGAGTGGGGAGTCAGGAGAGTGAGAAACAGTGTCTTGATTAAAGGATATTTAAGCCAAAGTTATCAGTTTTTCTTAATTGGCTCGTTCCAGGTGATCTGTTCATGGACAGCTGGGGAATTTTCAGCTGTGGTCTATCTCAACACCAACTGATTTGGCTTGATTGTAGAAAGGGAAGGCCTGCGACACTTTTATAACATATCTCTGAGAATACAGAGCATGTGACCATTCCCTCACCCAGCCATGTTACCTCATTCTGTTTTAACTTTGAGATCTCAGTTAGGTACAAGGAGTCAAGGCACTCTGTTTACAATGCACTGGAGTCACAGTATTTTTTTCAAAACTAATTTGAAAACAAAAACAAAGCTTCTGAAATTAAAAGAAAAGTATTAACTCTTGAATCAAAGAAGACATCAACATCCAAACTGAAGAATATGTAAAAATATTAAGAGGCAAGCAAATCAAAACTTGTAAAATTCAGCAAAACCAGTGTTCTACTATATGAAAATTCATATTTTTATCAACAGTATTAAATAAAAAGAAAATACTGATATAACAGTAGATGTTCCAGTTTTAATGGAAATATTTCTTATGTTTTACCAGTAAACACAATGCCACCTCCTGATGTAATATACATGTTTGTTCTGTTTCACCCTCAACTGGATGGATGTACTGCAATACAATTCTGAAACTAACTACCCAGAGTTAACATCAGACTCCACAGGCTTAAAGTTTCGGTCTTCCTCAAGACTGTTCTTCAGACTCCGCCTGCATTTGGGGGGCTCCTGCGCCACCCGGACGTCCAATCAACTATAAATTCAAGCATTCCCATGACCCCTTCATGTTCGATAATTTGCTAGAACAACTCAGGAAAATGGTGTGAAAGGAAAATAAATTTGGGGGCCCCCAAATCACTAAGCTAGAGGGAAAAGTCAAGCTGGGAGCTGCTTAAGTCAAACCTGCCTCCCATTCCATTAAAAGTCACCCCTCTGCTCACTGAGATAAATGCATATCTGATTGCCTCCTTTGGAAAGGCTAACCAGAAACTCAAAAGAATGCAACCATTTGTCTCTTAACTACCTATGACCTGGAAGCCCCCTCCCCGCTTGAGTCATCTAGCCTTTGCCTTGAGTTGTCCTGCCTTTCCGTATCAAACCAATGTTTATCTTACCTATATTGACTGATGTCTCATGACTCCTGAGAATGCATAAAACCAAACTGTGCTCTAACCATGTTGGGCACATTTTTTCAGGACCTCCTGAGGCTGTCATGGGTGCACGTCCTCAACCTTGGTGTAAGGTACATGGATGTGCTTTGGTCAAGGAATAGGCCAAGGCAACTATCCAGGCCTGCATGACTCAGTGAGTTTGGTGCACAGGCGCACACCTCCACTTGTCATATAACCTGTTTGTGTAAGTTCATACTTGGCTCTGAGCCACTATTGTCTGTAAAAGGTATAATTGTCCTGCTAACGCTGTACAGGAGCTCTTGGGGCTTGACTCAGTTCAACATGGCTTACCATGGCAGGCATGATGGCACCCAGAGAAAGAGAGAGAGAGAACCAGAGCTGTCCGTCTTGTATCCACAGCATGGCTCGCACTCGTGCCCGGAGAGAGAAAGGGTTAAGTTGCTGACTCTGAAGGCAAGGGAGAGCCGCTGGGCCATGCAGCTGCAGACTTGGGGGCAGCAGGAGCCGCAGAGCCAGAGCAGACAGCTGAGATAAGGGTGAACAGTCTGAGAAAGCTGTTGATGACAGTTGCTGCTGAATAAAATTATCTTTCACCTGCCTACAACCCTGTGAGTGTTCTTTCTGCTCATCCACCCACTTCCCTCGGACTTCAGAATTGGCTGGACACAGACCCTGAGATCTGACACTTGGCAAAATAAGCATTCTAAATTAACTGAGATTTGTGTTCACAGTGGTAGACTTATTATTAGAGGCCTTATAAAAGATACATATAGGGTGAGGCTTGGGAGAGACTGAAGAGTTTTATGTAATCTCTACGTGGAGTCAGGGCCATCACCCTCCAGACACATCAATGTGTTTTCCGACCAGGAAGTTCTACTGAGCTCCTTCTTGGAGTTTCATTATGTAGGCAATTGAAGAGGTGTTGTTGGTCTGGGGTAATACCCAAGGTTCATTGTCTCACATGAACAATATTGATTGATGTCTCATGACATCATCAAGGACGTGGACACATAAGGAGTGAGGTTAAGAGTGTAAGTTTTAATATGTGAAAGAAAGAAAATAGCTCTCTCCTGCTGAGAGAGGGGTCCCAAGCAGGTTTTCTGGTTCCGTGGTGAAATGCAAGGGTTTTATAGATGAGCTTGAGGAGGTGGTATCTGATTTACATAGTGTATGAAAGATTGGTTGGACCAGGTGTGTCATTTGCATATGGGCATGAAAAACTGGCTAGGGCTAGGTGTGCCATTTGCATAGCACGCAAAAAGCTGATCACCCCCACCCTAGTCTTTCATTACGTAGATGTGTTCTCTACCTGGCCAGTGCCATGCTGCCTGTTTCTTTACTGTACACATGGTGACAAAGAAAAGGGAAGATGAAGCCTCCATGTTGAACATTCCTAGCCCTCAGGTAGCCCTTTTCTACTGGCACAGTTGCTGGCATTCCCCCATGAAAGCTTCAAGCTTGCCTATCTATGTTTGCAGTTCAATTTTTCAGGCTGCTCTTTGTTAGAAAAGAAATGATTTGGGGGCTGCTTTTTTTTTGTCAAAAGGGAAATTTTGCTGAGGACTCTTTTACCCTTACTGTCTGCCTAAATAATTTCTTTCTATCTCTTGGTATCATAACCATTGGCCATGTGATTAATGAACTCAATTTCTAGCCCCCATCAGCTCCCTGGAGGTCAGGCTAGCTCAAAATCCCTAGCCCTCTGGTCATGTAATTGGCTTTTGGTGAAGATACCCCATTCTGAGGCTATCTGGTGACCCACCTTGAGTCACAGTTAGCCTAACAAAGACATTCCTATCGCTCAGTAAATTTCAAGGGTTTTCTGAAGCTCTGTGCCTGAAGCCTAGGTAAAATAAATAACATCTTATTTTATTTTACATAGTTATATACTTTATTGATATGCTACAATGCCTGATCATGTCAATGAAATGTCTCTCCTGAACCAAGCAAAGTCTCAGGAGGAAATCAGGTAACATACTGAAATTAGGGTAATTTGGTTTTAACAAAGGTATGACTTATTAAGGTGAGGCTGGGTATCAATGAATGAACCTCAAAAGATATTTCAGTAAACTTGGTATTACTTGAAGGCTAGAAGGGACAAGGGGTTGAAGCCTTTAGCAGAACTTAGAGTAAGAGAGTCATATAGAAAGGCCACTCAAGGGGAGTAGAGTTGTTTCCTTGAGAGACACAGTCAGCCGGAAGCAATACTTCAGAGAGGGAAACAAGAGCTAAATATTCTGACTTCTTACCCTAGATCTCCTCTAGGGAGATGGGGGACAGGAATCTCCATTGGCTGAACCTTATCTGGACCTCCAAAATTGAAACTGTCCTTTGATGGCGTCCATACAGGCTGGCTTCCTGAGGGACAGAGCAAGGTGAAGAAAGATTGAGAGGAACAGATGCAATATATCCAGCATAGCATGGAGCATGGGTGTAGACTTTTATGTAACACTATCTCAACATCCATGGAAAATGATCTTCTGTGTTTGCATTTGGCCTATTAATATGGTAAAAACTACCTAATGGCTAAACCATTCTTAGGATTCTGGAAAGAAGCTCACTTAATCATAATATATCATTTTCTTACATGCTGTTGGACTCTATTGGTTAACTTTACAGATTTTTGCATCAATATGCATAAGAAGGATATTTCTGCAATTTATTTATGTTCCCTGATGTCTTTCTGCCTTTCTTTTGCATAAATAAGGATTTATAAAAGTGTTTGCCAAACACAAATATAAAAAATACTGAATACAAAAAGGTAGAAACTCTGGTATCCACCTCTAACAATAAAAATAACCAAATCTTGGAAGTTTGAAAACTTCCCTGGCTTTCCTTCCCCACCAATAACCCATTAAGAAGAAATGGTAAGGGTAGAGAGAGAATCTGCGGGGATCATAGATCATTTAATCTTTCTCCTTATACTTATAGGAATGTTCCACAGAGCAGGTAATTCTTTGACTGGTCTATGATATGGCTAACAAACATTGCCTTTTCTTTTACCCTTTAGTTCTCTCAAGGCTTCAGTATTAGAAAAATTGATTATCCTAATAAATAGGCAGCTCAATAATATAATTTTAAAATTGCTTAATATTAAATTAATTAATCTGTAAAAAGCTGCCATACAATTTCTGGTAGTATTTGTTACTGCTCATCTGCTTTTACAGAAGAACTTGAGTGGTTGGTTCTAGAAAGGGAAATTCAGGTAGTCTGTAGCTTTGATCAATTTGACCTGTGTGTGTGTGTCTGGGTGGGGTGGGGGGTGTATTTGACCAGTTATGTTAATTACAACATCCTAAGGAACAAAAGTGTATGTGAGAAAATACACATACACACCTCCTCACCTGCCTACTGATACTATTAGACCACATCCCTCCATTTTTTTCTCTTTTCTCTTCAAGCCACATACTTAACAGATCATTAGTAGAAATGATAATTGTCTTCTCTGTACAGAAAATGAGTATCTCTAATCTTTAGCTCATTGCTAAAAATACGTAGATGACATTTGAGTACTTATTTTTCCAAGTAGTGCTAAGACAAATTCAAGGATAAATTTTACTGGCAAACAGGGGTGATATTATGTGCCTCTCATCAATCTAAAGTTTTAATTGAAGGGATCAGATGCCTCTACTATGAATAGTTTGACATCTTTAGCTGTATTTGTACAAATCAGTGGAAAATATTGCTCAGTGTGTCCACTACTGACTATATAATAGATATTTCAATGTAGGATGCATATTTCAAAATCTTTTTGTAACATTTTAGGGACATTAAGTCTTCCTTGGAAGTAAACTTGGTAAGAAATATTCAGGACCATTCAACAAATCAATGGACAATGACATGTTTCGATATAAAATCAAACAGCTAAAATAGTGCAGACTATTTCCCACTTAAAAGCACTGCCATATATACTTCTTCATCCTCTTTAATGTATATTCCCACCCTTTACTTTGGTGAATGTTAAAAATACTACTAGCATATGGATCAATATTGACTCTCCTAAATGTTCTCAGAGTTTTCCTCCAAAAGACATGCACACGTTACAAAAGCCAATGTGTTTATAATTTATTACAGTTCAAATATTGGGCCATATATTCTTGGTTCTAGTCAAACACTATAGACATATTTAATGGTAAAGATAAACCAAGCATTTCTAGCCAGTCACATTCAACTGAAATTGATACAGTGTAGTGATGATTTAGAGTGCTTCTTAGTTTAACTCAAGTAATTTTCTCTTTTTTTACTTTGAGATTGTAAATCTGACTAATTGCTTCACACTCTCTAGAACTGCTTCTTCTTGCTAAGTATAATTGCTACATCTGGATTCTCCTACACCCAGAGTAATTTTATGGAGGGCTTACCTACCGATCTCATTATACTTCCAGCTCTGATGCATCAAGCACCATGCTGTTATTTACCTACTTCAGTATACTTGATAAATTAAATCCAGACCTTGTTCAATGTACTCCTTTACGGCACAAATATCAAAATTTAGTATGGGTAAGATTAAACTATTAATAATATGCATTTTACTTCTTCCACAGTGGAATATACATTAGTTGTCTTTGATTTGACCACAGAAACACCAATAGCAAAGAAAAAGTAATAACGTTATTTGTGAAATAGATGAGTTTGGGAAAAGAGTATTCTAGGATAATTTTTGAGATGGAAAAGTGATTATATTCTATCATTGCTTAATCAGCTCTTAGCTAAAATAAGGTAATGCATAGATCATAAACAGGAAAATGAGAAGATAAAAATAGTAAAGAAGGCAAGAAGAATTGCTACCCTGTACGAACACCCATTGTAAAGCCAGTTATTTTGATAACCACAAAGAATTGCCTTCTAAACTAAGCCCTAACAAACAGAGTTGATTTTTTCACTTAGACCATATTATTTCAGTCTTATTAAGAAAACCAATCCAATCTGATGAATTTTTTGTTGCTTTGCTCCGGTGCTCACAGCTGGAGGGAGGGACAATCCATAGGCTCTTGTCAGTAGCACCTCACCTCTTTGAAGTTTGTTAGAGTTATAGTTCCCTCTAAAGATTTTATCTTTTGACTGTTTTCTCTCCAGTAAAGCCATTGAGCAAATTCATTTGCATTGGCACTGAGGCTTCACTCACCTGAAATATTCCAAGAACAATGTTCTCATCTTTCCTGCTTATCTTTGGAACATTTCTCTGCAGATAATGTGGTGACCTCTCTGTAGCACACACTTCTTAGAAGAGCAGGTAGAAAAGTCTGCTCTGAGATTTGAATGTTAACTAAAGCACAGCTTTTTCCAGGGCGAAGTTCCCCTCCAACAAAGCTTTGGGACACAGTATGGAAATGTTGTTTATTCTACAAAGAACTCTTAAGTGCTAACACAAGTGAATGTTTCTATTTGGGGTCGGTGTCAATTTAGGTGGAAAAATAAAACAGAACATTTTGGGGATATTTTTGAAAATATAAAATACAGTCTATCAGAAACAGTCCTCTGTAGCCTACAGTTAGGAGGTGATATTGTTTGGTTGTGACCTCACTCAAATCTCATGTTGAGTTGTAGTTCTCATGATTCCCATGTGTCATGGGAGGGGCCCAGTGGGAGGTAATCAAATCATGGGGCAAGTCTTTCCCTAACTGTCCTCATGGTAGTAAGTAAGTCTCATGAGACCTGATGGCTTTATAAATGGGAGTTCCCCTGCACAAGCTCTCTCTTGCCTGCCTCCATGTATGATGTCCCTTTGCTCTTCCTTTGTGTTCTGCCATGATTGTGAGGCCTTCCCAGTCATGTGGAACTGTGAGTCAATTAAACCTCTCTGTTTTATAAATTACCCAGTTTTGGGTATGTCTTTATTAGTAGTGTGAGCATAGCCTAATACAGGAGGTTCCTTGATGGATGTGAAACCAGGTAGTAAAGCATTTTTTGTCTATATGAGTTATCTATTGCTGAGTAACAATGCCAAAACTTGGTTACTTGCATTGATAAAATGTATGGCTCTTACAATTTGCATGGGTTAGAAATTTGGAGGTGGCTTAGCTGACTGGTTCTGGCTCAGGTTCTCATGAGGTGACACTGGCTAGGGCTCTATTCATCCAAAGGCTTGACTGGGGCTCCAGAATCCTCTTCCAATATGGTTGACTCCTGTGGCCCCTGTGGCTGTTAGCAGAAGGCCAACACTCACATAGGGGTTTGTTGGCAGAAATCCCTTGCTGGATTTTGACAGGAACCCTCTGTTTCATGCCACATAGACTGCTTCATAGAACTACTTTAATGCCCTCGTGACATGGCAGCTGGTTCCCCACAGTGTAAGAAATCCAAGAAAGAGCATAAAGAGAAGGTCACAATGTCTTCTGTCTCAGAAGTCACACGCCATCAATTCTACCATTTTCTATTTGCTTTAAATGAGTCTGTAAATCTAGTCCAGGGAATGGAATTGAAGGGGAGAATATAGTAAATTTTGCACCCAGTTACCTACAGTGAATGTCCTTTTCACTTAGTAACATTTTGACTGCTTGAACAATATTATGGTGGACAGATTTTAAGATGAGCTCCGTGAATTTTCCTTCTGGTCTTCATGCTTTTGTATCATTCTCTCTCCTGAATGTGGGCAGAAACTGTGACCTGCTTCTAACCAATGGAATGTTGGAAAGGCCATGAAATGTACATGATTACATAAGATTGCAGTGTCTGTCTTGCTAGGTCCCTCTCTTCCTGTTGCTGGCTTTGAAGAAGCAAACTGACATGACTCCTACCACCATGAGTTCTGGCTGGAATGAGGAAATGAATTCTTTCATAACCTGAGAGTGCTTGGAAGCAGGTGCTTCCCCAGTTGAGCTTCCAGCTGAGAATCCAGCCTCAGATGACACCTTGATTGCAGCCTTGAAGAAGATTCAGCTAAGCCATTTCTAGATAATGAATGCGTGTTGTTTTAAACCATTAAATCTGTTGTGATTTGTTATGCTCCATAAGAAACTAATACAGTACTGAAGTTAGGGAAGCCAAGTCTGACCTCTTTTTTTAAATGTTTTAAGCCATAGTACCTTGAAGAAATAAGTCACTTCACATCTTAGTATCAGTGTCCTCATCTGTTCAACAAGAGGGTGGTTTTAATAAGATCGAGGATAATCCAATCATCTTATGTCATGAAACATTACATGTGAGGTCAATAGACAAAGAGGCTAAAATAGATCTCCTCTTATTAAATAGGGAGAAAGATCCTCAAATATCTACCCTCCCATTTTATAACCCAGTAGTTAGGAGAAGCACAGATTGAATATTTTCAGACTGGATCACTTTTAAAGTGTCTAGATTCTTCTAGCCTAATCAGCCCATGGTTTTATAACAGCTTTAAAAGAGAAAGAAAAAAGGGGAAAGACCATGAGCACACACCAGGTGGACAAGGGAAAATTCAAACATATAGTATAAAATTGTTCTCACCACCAATGGCATGGCCCCTACCACTGCCAACCATTTCCCCTTTGTGCATGTCTTTCTGAACTATGTGGCAGACAAAAATAGAATGGAAGTTCACTGCTGTATTAGTCGGTTTTCATGATGCTGATAAAGACATACCCGAAACTGGGAAGAAAAAGTGGTTTAATTGGACTTACAGTGCCACATGGCTGGGGAGGCCTCCTAATCATGGCAGGAGGTGAAAAGCATTTCTTATGTGGTGGTGACAAGAGAAAAATCAGGAAGAAGTAAAAGCAGAAACCCCTGATAAACCCATCGGATCTCGTGAGACTTAACCACTATCATGAGAATAGCATGGGAAAGACCAGCCCCCATGATTCAATTACCTCCCCATGGGTCCCTCCCATGACGTGGGAATTCTGGGAGATACAATTCAAGTTGAGATTTAGATGGGGACACAGCCAAACCATATCAAATGCTATTAGTGTTCATGGCTTTGACTTACAAATAAAATGTATTTCAAAGTCATGTGGAGTAACATATACTGTTAAATGTAAAGCAGCCAGAAATTTACTCAAACTCAGTGAAAGATATTAGTCAGCTGTGTGTGTGTGTGTGTGTGTGTGTGTGTGTGTGTGTGTGTGTGTGAGTGAGTGTGTGTGATTTGGGGAGCGGGATTGATAGAGTAGGTAGTAACAGGCTCGTTAAATTTTACCATTGCCCCCAACTACATCTATGCCCTTTGCTAAGGGAGTTTACAGTTCCATTAAAGTTTAATGTTATATTCCTCTGTCCTTCTAATTTGGGTTTGGTCATGTAACTTACTTTGGCTAATGGCTTGAAGGCAGAAGAAACAGTATGACAGTTACAAGACTAAATTTTGAAATACTTCACATCTTATCTCTTGTGCCTCTGCTACTTCCATATGACAAACCACACCCCTAGTAGCCAGTTTGTCCAAGGAGATTAAAAGACACATAGGTAAAGCCACCCCAGGCAACTATGCGCCTTCAGATAGAAACAAAGGTAACCAAGCTGGTTTAGCCTGAGGAAGGACTGCTAACTCAAGCCCGCCTAGATTAGCTAAGTCTACTAACCCACAGGTCTTTTAGAATACCTGATTACTGCTTTAAGTCATCAAGTACTAGAGTAGTTGTTATGTAGTATTGGAATATAGCTAACCTATACACTGAGCAATGGTGTTAGGAAAGAATCTTATGCATATTCTCTATCTCATATCTAGCTTCTCAAAATGCACTATGTTCCTTCCCTTACACATGCTAATAATTTAAACTTAACAGCGTTACCACTGAAAGTGTCCATCTGACTAACTAGTGACCGTATACCAGACAAGGACTGGTAAAATTGCTCTCTATTGGAAAAGTGTAAACATTGAAAATTTTGAAAGACCAAGGACAACATTAAATTGATAGTGTAAATATAGACAACTAAGATCATTAAGGTATTCTAAATAGCTGATATCTTTAGTTATACAAAAGCATTCCTATTAAACAAGAGGTTTTAGGATATGAAGGTTGTTCAGTGCATATACATTTATCATTGCTATATCTTCCTGGTGGACTGATCCTTTGTCATTATGTCATATTGCTTTCTGTCTCTGGTAATTTACTTTGTTCTGAAGTCCAATTTATCTGATATTAATACAGCCACTCCTGCTTTCTCTTGATTAATATTTGCATGGTATACATATTTTTCATCATTTTACTTTCAGTCTACCCATATCATTATATTTGGAGTGAATTTCTTACAGCCAGAATACAGCTGGTCCTCTGGATTCACAGGTTCTGCATCAGCAGATTTAACCAACTGTTCAAGAACCCTCAAAAAATAAAAATAACAGCAACAATACAGCAATAAGAAATAATAGCAATTAAAAAATAATACAGTATAACAACTAATCACATAACGTTTGCACTATACCTGGTATAAAAAGTAATATAGAGATTATTTAAATCCTACAGGAGGATATGCATACGTTACATGCAAAATCCTCAGATTTTGGGATCCACAGGCACCCTGGAACAAATCCAAAGATACTGAGGGATGGCTGCATAGTTTGATATTTTTCATTCACTCTCTCAAACTCTCTCTTTTAATTGGTATATTTAGATTATTTACAGTTAGTAAAGTTATCGATATATTAGGGTTTGTCTGCCATTTTATTTTGTTTGTTTTGTTTAAGATCTCTTATTTTTATTTGTTTGTTTTCCTTGTCTTTCCTTCCTGTAGGTTACTCAAACATACTTTGTAATTCCATATGAATTTTTCCATAACCTGAGTATGCTTGGAAGCAGGCACTTCCCTAGTTGAGCTTCTAGTAGAGAATCCAGCCTCAGATAACACCTTGATTGCAGCCTTGCAGAAGATTCAGCTACAGTGATTTCTCTTTAGTGATTTTTAATATACCTGCAACATTCTTCTTAACAACTGCATAGAATTCCATTATGTAGATATAACAGAATTTATTTAATTAGCCCCATTTTGTTCCTTCTTCACAAACATAGCCTAATGGACTTTTTCTGACACTCTGGTTTCAGACCTTTTTCCATTATGATAATCACTACATTAAGGGTCTTCTTGTCTAAAATAATATTTACAGTTTATTTTTCCCAATGAAAAGTGGTAATATTCTAGGAAAATGTCACAACGTCCTTGCATCTCAATTTTCTCATATGCTATGTAACCCACACAAATAAACTTGTATTTTCTGAGACCATGCTACCTGCAAAATAAAAATAAAATCACATTAAAAGAAATACAGAATTGCTTTGCCTCTGACAGCAGCCTCTATTATGGAATTTTGAAATACCCCCACACATATTTTTCTCAGTGGCCCTGGGCATGCCTCTTGTGTCCATTAACACAGCCTTCTCTGTGAAATGTGGAAGGAACTGTTTTTCTCCTCTTTTCTAGCTGTAGTTTCCTGAGGTGATGTGGCCGATCCATCTGATGCCCTTTGAGCCATTTGAAGGATCTTTAATACCACTGGTGCAATTTCTCCTGAAAAGATTTTTCTGTGCAATGTCGTCACACTTTGTTGGAGACTTTTTGGTATTAAAAATAGAATTACCATTTTCTGGTGGAGGAATTGTTTTATTCTTTAAGAATGTGTGTGTGCAATAAACAATTCAGTGGGCAGTTTTTTTACCCAGCTAACTGAATCAATTTAAACATATAGTCCTTAAATGTTTTATGATTAAATAATTAATCAATTTAAATATCATAACTCCTGTATCTTAAACTATGAGTTTCATGGCCCCAATCAAAATTCCCATAACATTTTTTTTCCTCTATACAGCAGGCCTATGAGTCATTCATAATCAGATACATAATTGGTCAAACCAATTAATCAGCAATCATCTGCAAAATAATTAGAAAATACAATCTTATTCAAGGAGCAGTAGATTCAATGGCCTTGTATTACAGTTTGACTATATCATCAAAATGCAGCAGATGCATTATTACATTTCCTTTAAATTGGTGAGAAGTCTGTATCCAAACCATTAAATAAGGTGTTAACGCTCTAATTCAAAATTCTTCAGCATAAGAGCATTGAATTGTATCTCCTAACAGTGTAAAAGATTTTTTCCAGGTAATTTTCTACTCCATTACCTTATGTGATGCACAGGAGCATAGCTACACATCAAGTTGGCTTTTGAGCTGATAGCTTTTTACTGAGTATTTATTGAGCATATTATTCTATGTTGTAAGGCACAGCGCATCATGCAGATTTTTTTCAGATTTATTATTATGACTTCCCTTCAAGAGGCACATCTTCTTTTATAGTATGAAAACCTGAGAAATTTTGACCTTTTGACCCAGAGAATCAGTACCTAAAGGCAGACTTCTTAACTGGGAAGTCCACTGTGTCATGCATTTCCCCATAAAAAATGTTCATGTTGTCTTCATAGCAGCAGTCTGAAAGAACAATAAGTCTCTTACAAACCTACATTTCATGGGTAACTTACATTAATATGATGCCTGGCAAGAGGAAATGGAAGCTTTGTAGTAACATATGTAAGTTTGTATTCATTTAAAAACAGTCGTGCAATTTGCATGTGACATTTAATTACAGACATCATTTAAACATTCTTATAATGGTTCAATGCTGAGGCTCCAGGCTGCAGCTAACCAAGTTGAAAATCCTGGCTTGGCCACTTACTAGGTATTTGAACTAAGACAAGTTTCTTATTTATTAGGCCTCGGTGTTCTTCATCTTTAAACAAAGGGGTCTATTTTTAATACCAACCACATACATTTGAGAGATGACTAAGTAAGATAATGCAACTAAATAATTTAGCAGAGTTTTGTTTAGTTAGGGCAAAATAAAGATTAAATATTGTTATTATATCTACAGGTTGGTATATGGTTAGCTTTGCTAGTTAGTACACTTCACTGTAACCGTACCAGAACACGTCATCGAAGATTACTTGAGAAATGAGAAGGAAAAAATCAAAATAAATAAACTTCTAGGTACTAAAAATCATGTAAGATCTGTTGTTGTTTTATTGCTTGAGTATCAATGGTATAAAAATACAGTACTCAAGAGCCCATATCATCTATAAAAAAAACAGAAAACACTTATTCCATCTTTATAAATAGACAGGTAGCTCTAGGAAGAGAAACCATACAATAAACACTAAAGTAAGCTTTAGAAACAAACATTTAAATCTTCATTCTCAAGTTAACGTTTTCCAAAAACACATCGTTTTATTTTAGTCCTTTGAAATAGAATAGTACCAAGCAAATTTAAAATGTGCCTCGTTTCTGCCTTTCTAGATGCCATTACATTTGCTTACTAAGCCACTTCTCGAGTTAAAGAAATAAAACATACACACTGCTTTCTAGAGCTTAAAATTATGTCTCTTTAAATTAACACCCGTCTCTCCAGCAGAGGGAGCAAATAAGTTTTTGTATTTTCATTTCTACCAAAAGAACTTCTTTGACTTACTATGTGCTTTTGTATAAAACACTTTGAATGCTATATTAAAGAATAAATTTGTAATAAGAATGTATTTAAGTCAACTCAATAGTACATATTAAATGTTCAAAAAATACTCCTAGGTGTAGGTCTTATGCTTTTCATTTTGCTAAAGGCACTACATCTGTGAAAATGTAACTCTAAATATTAGCCACACAAAGAAAAATTATTTTTAAACTCTTGAAATACTAAACTACATATATACGGTACATTTTAAACAACTATGTATTCTAGAGTTTTTTTATTTTTGAATTTTTTCTTAACTCCCTCTTAGAAATCTAATAGTAGTAGAAACATGCCAAATAAATGTTGGAAAAAGATTGTCACATATCTTGGGATATGCTATGTTTGTGAGTTAAATGTGTAATATTAAACTCACATTGGATTACAATGATTTAATTACTTAGACTTTAAAATCATAATTCTTAGGGTGTAATTTCTCTTAGATTTAGTTCCAAAATCATTTCAATAATTTGTAAATGGCTTTAAATTTTGAACTTAATAAAATAAAAACTCTTTAGTGAGTTTTTTCCTCCTCTGTTATCTAGTTTTTCTTTCATAATTTTAGGAATAATGAATTAATAGTCCTAAGAACTAATGACTACTTATTCTGAGAGACCCTAGTAAGGCAAGAAAGCTTATAGGCTTTAAGCATAAATTTCTATTCTTAAGGAGAGCTTTATTAAATGTGTACCTGATGCATTTAGCATTTACAAATTCTCAATATGTATCCCAGAACTAGGACTGACATGTTGAATTTTTTAAGTTAACTGCTCCATATATATACATATTTAATATATATAAAACAAATTATTGTATAATAACAAATCCTTTTAAGTATTTAAAATAACTCTAAAATTTGACTTTGGTTCTGGCATTGACATGAAGGTACTTGGAGACCTTAAGAAAGTTGCCTACGGTTGCTAAGATGTATTTAACCACAGCAACTCTGCAAACAGCCTTGAACACTGCAGTACTCATACTGTACTTCTTAGTTCTATGTTAGTTACAAAGGTACAGTTGCTAAGATATGTTTAACCACAGCAACTCAGAGATGCAAACAGCCTTGAACACTGTAGTATTCTTACTGTACTTCTTAGTTCTATGTTAGTTACAAAGGTACAGTTGCTAAGAGGCAAACAGCCTTGAACACTGTAGTATTCTTACTGTACTTCTTAGTTTTATGTTAGTTATAAAGGTACGGTTGCTAAGATGCAAACAGCCTTGAACACTGTAGTATTCTTATTTACTTCTTAGTTCTATATTAGCTACAAAGGTCTCCAGTCTCAGACCATCCCTCAACATGACAGAATGTATTTGGTGTAATAGAATCTTATCATACTCAGTAAAAAGGTTTGCCAGGACCCTATATCCTGGCTTTTTGTTGTTGTTGTTGTTGTTGTTGTACTTCAGAGATGATTTCTACTAGCTTATCCCAGTAAATGTGAATAATAATGCTTTCCTTTTCAATTCCAAATATCTATAGGAATCTCTGGAGATGCTTTCAATATTTGTTGAATCTCTTGCCTCATAACTCATGTCTTCTTTATGCCTGAGAAAATATGCAAGGCAGAGAAATGTTCCTATTCTCAGTGAGCGCCACCTCCATACCTCCAGTCCAAGCTACAAATGTGGTTAAGTCCTGAACCCATCTCTCCTTCACCAATGTGGCAAAGTAATCAAATATATTGCTTCTACCTCCTAAAGTCTTCCAAATCGATTTACTTCTTTTTCCTTTTCTACTGCACTACCATCATCAGAGACCCTATCTCTCAACTTGTGTTTCTACAGTAACCTACAGACTGGCTCATTCCAGTTCATTTTGCTTACTACACCCAAATTTATTTCATTAAAAAGCAAATATTATCATATTATCCTGTTTCAGTCCCTCGACAATTTCTAAATGCCCTTTGTATAAAATCTAAACTTCTTCACATGGCTTTAAAGAACCTTAATGGCCGGGCGCGGTGGCTCACACCTGCAATCCCAGCACTTTCGGAGGCCAAGGCGGGCGGATCACAAGGTCAGGAGATCAAGACCAACCTGGTTAACATGGTAAAACCCCGTCTCTACTAAAAATTCAAAAATTAGCTGGGCGTGGTGGCGGGCACCTGTAGTCCCAGCTACTTGGGATGCTGAGGCAGGAGAATGGCAAGAACCCAGGAGGCAGAGCTTGCAGTGAGCTGAGATTGTGCCACTGCACTCCAGCCTGGGTGACAGAGCGAGACTCTGTCTCAAAAAAAAAAAAAAAAAAAAGAAAGAACCTTAACAACTTGGACCTACCTAATTTTCCAGTGTCCTTTTCTGCCACTGCTATATGCTCTAGACAAATGAATCATTTATTTCAATCTTTGGACTCTTATCAATTCCTAACCTAAGTCAGGGTTACTCAACCTTGACACTACTAATATTTTGGGTTGAGTAATTGTTTGATGTGGGGAGCCCTGCTGTGCATCGTAGGATGTTTGGCAGCATCTCTGGCCTCCACCCAGTTGATGACAGTAGCAATCAGTGTCCAGTTGTGACAACAAAAAATGTCTCCAGATTTTTCCGAATGTCCTCTGGATAGGGGCAATGTTATTTCCCATTGAGAACCACTGCCCTAAGTGAACTAGCCCAACCCATGATTTTATATGCCAAATATTACAAGCAAGGGTGTTAAAAGATCCATCTCTCTCTCTCTCTCTCTCTCTCTTTCTGTCTTTCTCTCTCTGTCTCCTCAGTCCAGCAATAAGTAGTCCAGTGGTGGTATCATAGCACCAAGATTGTCAAGAACCCAGGTTCTTTATTTGGCTTCATCAAAGTAAGAGTTAAGAGTTTTTCCCTCATCCACATGTTCTAAGATGATTTGCCACCGCTATGTCCATATTCTGTCCAACAAAAAGATAAAAACCAAGAGAAGTGAGACGAGTATGTACTCTCTTTTTCAAAGCATATCCCTAAATGCACACATCACTTCTAGCTGCAAAGGAGTCTGGGAAATATAAAAATCGAATTTTCATTGCAAAAAATATGATATTAATAAAAGCAAATAAAAGAATCAGTAAAATGTATATCAGGGAACAACAAGCAGTTTTTGCCACATCCTGACCTTTTGACCACCAAAATATCTGCTGTGCACCTTTCTTTTCATAAGAAAAGTACATTCACCTCTTGTCCAAAGGAAAAACAAAAACAAAAACAAAACCAGTCCCAGATGGGTACTACTCTCAGATCAAAGTCCAGGATCTCTGGGAGATAGTCTTCTCCATAAATTCCATATGTTGCTTCTCCTGATTAGGAAACTATGAATGAAAAAGAAAGTTATATGTCCCCCCATCGCTATTTACACACACATCCTCACAAACTCAACAGCAGATGATGTTAGGAACAAGATAATCTCTGGCACATAGCAACAATCAAATTCTGCTGGGAAGACTGGACTTGGGAAGACTGCTGCCCTGACAGACGTGTAGTTCTGGTGTGGATAAGCCCATTTGGCAGCCCCTGATTCCTGCACTCCTAATTTTATATTCAGGAGCTTCTTGTTTGTTCTTATTCTCTGTGATCCTACCAAAAGTAGGAAAGGGATGTATGCTTTTCTTATGGGCAAACCTTTTGCAGCCTGTTTTCTACTAAGTAGGTTTTGGTCTTTGAGGGTTAATTTAGAGCTGAAATCATCACAGGCATTTCTAGGTCAGGCTTCTGGTTTCTTTGCTGATAATAAATATCTTGTGTTAGTATCTATTACCAAATTTCTAGAAGTCTTGAGCCTAAAGAGTTTTACTTACTAGCCACTTTGATGTTCCAATTTCCCTCTTCTCTCAATTGAATTCTGGCTCCCTTTAGAACCTAAAAGCTTCAGGAGGAACGCAGCCTCTATAATCTGACCTCTGTTACTGACTGTCAAAAATACACAACAGGAGAAAACCCCAGGGTCACAGTCTTATCTCCTACTAAATCTACCTGCTCAGAGCCACCCATCATCACTGCTTCAATTGGGGGAGAGATATAGTTGGTAATAGTTGTCTTTTTCAGCTCTGCAAAGCCCAAATTACTGGACCTTCATTCAACATAGAACATGAGATTCTTGTGGCTATTTTTTTCTGTCTTCACCAGCATCTAACACCCAGTATGAATCTTAGCAAGTGTTCAGTAACTGATTTTCAGTGAACTTTAAACGTTAATTAACTCCACAAAGTATTTGAAAAGAACCAAATGAGTTGCAGACTTGGTGCAGGATGTTTGGAGAGATCTCTGTGGCTGTAACTGCTAGGAAAATCTTACAGAGGGGGTAGGATTTATGCAGAAATTTCCGTATCACAGAACTTTTCAAAAAAACATTAGTTGTATTATTTAACCTTCAGATCAATCCCACGAGATGATACATTGCCAGTTTACAAATGACAAAACTGAAGTTCAAAGCTTTCTCCCTACTGCTGCTCAGTCAGTAAGATAGATAACTTAGATTCGAATCCACTTCTTCCAAATTTCAAAATCTTCACTCCTCTCATTTTCTATAACTGCCACTTGTGATTAACAGGCCAAAGGGAAATGGGGAGAATATTCTAAACACAGGGAGAAGCCATGGCCAAATTATGCAGAAGGAAGAAAGAAGAATGTTTCTTTCTTCCTTCTGGATAAGAAGAGAATTACATATTTAGGTCAACTTGGATGAGGCGGGGGGTGCTGTATAAAAAAGAAGAAACTAATGAGAAGTTAAATTGAAAAAACCTCGACTTCAAAATGTATTTAAATTATTTTGATAAGCAATGCTCCTTGAATGTGTCTTCATTTTGCTGAATTTCAATACAGAGTAAGTGGTGTTATAGCAAGTGTTCATTTTATGAATACATATTTTAATGCTTGCCCTCTCCCTTTTATGAGACAATTATTGTTTGATTATCTGGAAAAATGGTATGCTATTGTTCTTGCTACATTAAAAGAAAAACTTAAACATTCGTCTTGTTAAAATATAATTCACAGTTTGCCATTTATTTCTTTTATTCATTTTATTGCTACTGCTACAAATAACATTGAAGTTAACAATGTTTTTCATTTTTTTTGAGAAATTCTTTAGGAAAAGTTATTCTATTCAATCTCAGAGGGTAGAATAATGGCTTGTTTTTTCTCTGAATGCCTTTGTCTAACATAGGAAACATGAAAGAAGCACAAATGAGTTGATTGTCTTGGTACCCATTTTAGGAAGCTCGTTATTAGTAAATTCATTATTATAGAGGAATTTCAAAAGAAAAAAATAGGGTATTTGAGGGTCACTTAATTAAATAAATGGATCTTGGTAATTAGACTTTTTTGGAAAGATAATGTATTTGTCAGATGTATTTAGATGAGTTTATTTAATAAATATCCCCAGGAGATGTTAGTTCCTCTTGTATTTAATCATGATGGGTTTCTATACATATCCTGAGGATATTAGGGAATTTCCTGTTATGTTAATGGGCTGCTCCAAATTTTCTTAGTTTCAGAACTGACAGAGATCTCATCCCAGCCTTAATGACTATTTAAAGAATACTGACTGGAGTAGGTGATTAGCAACAGGAAATAGGATTTAGGTAATTGAAATTTATCTTGGGTCAAAAGAGATGGAAAGGAGAGAAGATTGCAAGATCTAACAGTTTTTAACTTGCTATTGGAAATAAAAAACTGAAAAGAGATATCTCTGCTCTTAATCAGTGTTATGACTTTGCTTCACTTAAATCTCCATTTTAACCTACAGTTTTTAATACTAGCTCACGTAGGCAAGGCAATTTCATTGTGCTTTCAAAGTGGGCCAGTCACCATAAACCAGTGAAAGTCCTGGAACTTATAAAATGAATTGGAAGAAGGTATTGACATGGTCATGCATCGAGCAATTCATCCATAGCATGTAATCACATGTGGCATTTTTCAGCGGAACACCAATTATCTAAAAACATGTAAAGCAAACAAATACGTTTTGTTTTCATATATATATAGATAGATAGATAGATATACATAGTTATAACTCAAATTGCAGGGCTAAACTTTGACCAATGCAGTGACAATATAAAATTTATATGAGCCAAAAGTGGAAGATAAAACACAAGAAAGTAATAAGGTTTTTATTATAAGTGTGGATGGTAACATGTTGAGAATAAGTTCAGACTAGAATCAAATCAAATCGAATTCAAATAAGACAATGCATGTAAAACCACTGGATGCGCTCTACAGCCTTTGCAAACGTGCATTAAATGTCTTCAGTCTTGTTCAGGTTCAAGTAGGCACATATAAATAGACAAAATAATACATGAGAAACCATCATTACTTTTATTTCTCAAATTCAATCATTCAGATCCTTTGATGATCATTCTGGTAAGATGAGAGGTAGGACACAGAATTTCTATAGCAACTGAAGTAATAAAAAGAGCAATTCAAGGGCTTTTCTCATGTGCTGCCATTGAGATAATTTGAAGGAAAAGTACAGGCTAAAAGGACTCAAGGTGGGATTTTCCAGCAAAATGCAGAAATAGAGATGGCCAACTGCAGGCAGGATGTAGTAATGGAACAAGTAGAATTTCAGGTGTGTGTCAGACCTTTTTAAATCCTCCTACCCTGCTTGCGGGCAATGACCTTGATAGAATATTTAATCTCTCGCAGCTCAGTTTCTTAATCTCTACAAAACCAAAGTGACATTGTGGCAAACAGAGAACACAAGTTAGCATTTTCGTCTTTTGTTAAGCCTGCCCATTATATCACATATGACCACCAGAAAACATCTATTAATGGAGCTAAACTGTGTATGAGACATACTGCAATACAATTCTTAGCAGTCTCCCAAAGTTGGAAAAATAGGAAAATACATTTAGGAAGGTTCAGGGTCTGGGCTGGGTAACTTTAAGGCAGATAAATGCTAGAAATGGGCAGGGTTTACTTTGATTGCTAAACTTAGCTGTGAGACGATCTTGAAGGGAGTCTTCAGGAGCAAACTGTTAGTCTTGATAATAAGTTGTTTAGGTCTTTCCTAGTCTTATCTTTCAGGAGCCAGTAATTCTGAAGCATGCAGATAAGGTATTATTGCTTGGTCCCAGCATTGTTTAACATAGGGACAGAGAATCAGGTTGGGCTTCAATTATTGAGTCTCACATAGCATTTTTGCCTTCAACAATATAGTATCTTTTCTAAAAAATTATTTTTGTTACCTAATTGCATTAAAATGTGACTCCATATTAAATTAACTTACAGTGTGTAATATATACAGGGACTTCTTATTCCTTATTTTAAAGCAAAAGCTTTCTATAATTCTGCAATGCACTCTTGAAACTATGTAATAGTTTTACAGTTTTTATGATTTCTATTTCTATTGTTTTTAACCTTAATTTATTCCTTCTAATGTCCTTTTTTACATTTTGTAATTTCTTGTGTTGAGTGATTAAAGATTTTAATTATTTTTGTTTATTATCATAACAATAGATTTATTTATGATAGATTTTTCCTGTGAGCACTGATTTAGCTGTATCCATAAGTTCTTCATGAATTGTATTTTGCAGATTGTCAGCAATTTGATTCCTTATGACCCAAAATGTCTTTAAAGAGTTGTTAAATTTTCCTTTGGCATACTAGTATTTCTTTAACTTTTGTTGCTCATATTTATTTTCATTTTTAGCTTAAATTATACCCATGGTTTGGAAGAGACCAGGAGTGAACCTTCAAACCCAAACTGGTCCAGTTAATTAGTTCCTTTCTTGAGGAAAGCAGGAACTGGACTAGGGAATTTTTCAATGAAACAAAGAATGACTTAAACAAGGAATAGGAAACTCAGAAAGACTGGCATTAATTGAACTTATACACAGAAGGAGAGAACAAATATATGCATGGAAAATATCTATTGGTTACCTTTAGCTCTCTAGTCTCCAGCCTAGGCTGTTCTTGGGGCCAAACTAAAACTCTGACTTTGGATTTCATGAAACTCCTCTGCAGCACCATAAATACAGGTCCCATTTTACTTACACTGGCCTCAGGAGAGTTCCCTTAATTTCAGCCTGAAAAGACCAATAAATATACAGTGGAAATATTTCTGTTGTAATAATAATTAACAGTCCAGCAGATAAAATAAAACCTGGGCCAAATTGAAGATATCACGTAGAACTGGCATTCAAAAAAGAATTTCAGGGTTGTAAGAAATTCTGTGAATAAAACTTTTCAGCAAGACATTTAAATCTAGAAAATTAACCTAAGAAAATCAAGGATAAGTAAAAAACATATATACAATTAGTTTATAGTCACATTATTTATCATTGTAAAGAACGTCCCAAAATTGGAAATCATCTACATGTTCAATATTATGGAATTCATCAAATATTATAAATTACTTGATGTTTCCATAATTTTAAAAAGTTTCAATGATTAAATTTTATGCAGATCTACCCACCTAAATATGGAAGAATTTCTGTGAGTTATCAAAGGAAATAATGCAAATTATTTTGTAAACGTTCCCATTTTTACAAGAAAGGCTGTGTGTGCACACACTTGCATATGTGAACTGAAAAATATTGGATGGATATACAGCAATGTGTTATGAGTTATTATTCCCTGGTTGGTGGACTAAAGGTAATTTTATTAGCATTTTTCAAAATTGGTATTATTTATAGTAAACATACACTATGTAATTATAAGAAATAACCTATTTAATCTTAAGAAAAAAGAAAGGAATGTATGTGACCAAAGAAAATGTTTTATGTTGAGAAGGCCATAAAAACTCAGGCATTATGAGATAAATAGGAAATGAAGTCAAAGGTCAAATCTTGAGGCACTGGGAAAGGCCTCATTGCCAGGTAATAAGAAAGAACTACTAAGGATCAGGTTATTTCTCTCTTAGTAACTGCTCTAGACAAGTAAGTAGGGAAGTCTGGTAAAGGGTAGAAAAAGAAGTTCATGTTTGATAAATAGATTTTTATTATTGAAGATCCTGAGGAAAATGTTTAGATTTTCTTCCTTGAAAAAAAAAATGATATGAATGCTTTGCAGTGTTGTCTTAGCAATTTACATCACTTTAAATTAACTCAGCAAGTCATCCTTTGCCCTGTGCAAATCTTCCAGGCGTCCTTTTGTATTTCCTTTGCCCTTTTCTTGGCCCTGTTCTATGTTGTATTGTTCCAATAGGAACCAAAGCAAGGGCCTCCTGAGTCCTCCAGCTTGTTATTTGGCTGATCAGAGGCCTGGCAGGAAAGGGAAGGAAGGCAGAACGTGAGACACAGTGTCCACTCCCCTGGCAGGCTTCCCACCAACTGAGGAAGACCCTGCTTCTCTTCACACAGCATTTTTATGCTTCTTCTCCTTACCCCTTCCAATCTAAGCATGGACATTCAGCCCACCACCAGTTCTGCACTGATCCCTCATGGGTTCCTAACCCTCTGCCCTCACCTTACTAAATAGCCCTTTGATTAAAGTCTCCTCAAATTACCCAGTGTGTAACTAAAAGAGTATAACTGGATTGTTTGTAACACAAAGGATTAATGCTTGAGGGGATGAATACCCCATTCTCTATGATGCGATTATTATGCATTACATGCCTGTATCAAAACATCTCAAGTACCCCATAAATATATACACCTACTATGTACCCACAAAAATTAAAAATTAAAAAAATTTTTAAATAATATAAAGTTACCCAGTGTGGTGGACCATCTGCTTCCTGCAATGCCCTCATCAATACAGATATTAATCTGTAAAACAGATGAACAGGATCTACTGCCCTGTTCTTTGTACAAAATAACTTCATTAAATAATATTTCATCAGCTTCATGATTGCTCGTGGAATGTAAATAGAACAGACCTGCAGCGGACCTTGTCAGTATTCTGCCTGTAACTCTCACATCTCTTTGCTTATGTCTTTCATTTTTATTCTCTGAGGCAGCACGTGCTCTCTTTGTTGGAGGCCTACCTCCATCTGCCAGAACCCTCTGACTACACACAGGAAAAAGCAAACATGCCTAGAAACGTACATATCCCCATCATGACTGATGGTGCAGTTGTAAATACTTCAGCACCCTCATCCCTGATGGGAACAAATCTAAGAAGTGACAGGCCTTATCTCCACATCCTCTTTACTGGATTGAGCCACAGATGTTTTCCATGAAGTCTAACTATATAATGCAAGCTTGTTTGGATTTCTTCCCTTTCCTTCACTTCCTTTCCCATCTCTGTTTCAGGTCCCCGCCCATCTATGTGTTTTTCCTGGATATATTTCCTAATAAACCAACCATGTTCACCCAAATCCTCGTCTCAGGGTCTGCTTCAGAGCAGCCCCAATCGAAGTCAGGAATCATATGACATACATTTGAAAATAGTTTTTTTAACATAAAATGATAGCAAAAATAAAAAATCTCTTATAACCGTTGCAAAAGACTAGACATGTCTAAAAGTAATCCATGTCAGATAAATTTAGTTTTTTGATCAATTGTGATTTAATATAATTAATTTTGGGCCTGGTATCAATTTTCTAAAAAGCACTGCTCTGGGAAAAAGTGAAAGCAAATCCCTTTCTCTGACATATTTTTAATGTTGAGATATTAGATTCTAAGACACAGACTCTATGGACTCTAATGAGATCACATTACCCATTGCTAGTGGGTGTGGCACTGACAGGGATAAGGAGGTAGCATCCTGCTGGCCTTTCAGAGACCTGTGAAGAAAGTAGTAGGTGCTCAGTGAACTAGTTACACTTTGAGAGGTCTTCTGATAATCATTTGTCCACTTCCAGGGGGCTTTCAAACCTGATTCATCTTCAACCTCACCAGGGGAATACAGGCCTCTTTGTAAAATCAGAGTAATGGATGGAAAAGAGACCAAAAAGACACGGTTCATTATCTTCCTATTTCAGCCTTTACTTTGACAAATGAGGTGACCAAGCCCAAGCGTGTAGGAGGTTTACACAA
The DNA here is from genome assembly GCF_000001405.40 of Homo sapiens. Classification (NCBI taxonomy): domain Eukaryota; kingdom Metazoa; phylum Chordata; class Mammalia; order Primates; family Hominidae; genus Homo; species Homo sapiens. The sequence goes on from NC_000013.11 coordinate 91,089,254, forward strand.
AACCATTCAGCTGGTTAGTGGAAGGGCAGGGACTTAGATCCATGGGTCCAACGTTCTAGCTAAGTGAGTTTCTTCGGCTGATACTACTGATTCCGCTTTTGAATTATTCAAATATCCTTCAAGATTCTGAGAGAAATGCAAATTTAATCTTTCACCACTTTTTTTTCTCAGATAATTATTGCCATTATATCAGAAAGTTAAGTGATGATTTTATCAATTACCAAAGTTGATTGAGGTTGGTTATTTGTGAAGTCATTAGAAAGCTTACCTTATCCGTTATGAACCTGACTTTAAGATGAGGGATGGGGGATGTGGATCACCCTTGTTTTTCTCGCAGAAGGGCTGAGGTGTCACCATCCTACTTCTAGAAAGGGAGCCACGTGTCACCAACAAATCAACAGTATTAAGGAGAACGTTTGACATAAAAAGTCATGTTTTATAACAAAAATGTAGAACATTTATTCAAGTCAACAAAAGAAACAAAATATTGAAACAGTTAATGTCTTCTCTAATCATTTCTTTTTGTTCATTTACAGAGTAGTAACGATTATTTTCTCTGTCTTAATTTCTAAGCAATTTCTCAATTTAGAATGAATTAACTGGAAGAATAGTTCGTTTTTTCTACACATACAGAAGACAGTACAGATGTAAATAACGTTTTCAACAAGATATCCTGATAAATCCGTGGACCTAAATTATTTCCACTGGTACATCATTACTATATTTTTCAACATCTAATAAGCAAACATAAGATCTGAAAACGAGTTCTCCCTGCGTACTTGCATCTATTACAATGAATATTGTGTGTGGTTTGGGTTTTGGCTGAGATAATTGTGAAATATTTACAAAATTCATTCTAAAACGTTTACATGCACGCTAGTGGCTTTTAATTAAAAGTAGGAATACAAAGCACATGATGGTCTCTTCACAGAGAAATGTCAATAAGAAAGTTTAAAGATATTTCATAAATACATTTAAAGGGTATCAAATTATGTTTGCACTTTTGATCAGTTTAAATAGCATACATATCTTAAATATAGGTTTTTAAGTCTTTTGTAAAGCTTCTTTTCTAGGAGAGGAGAGGCCCCTATCAATAGAAGATTTTTAATCATCTATAAATTAAAAAGCAGAAATGTTACACTGTCCTGTAAAAACCTACACGTTCTATTTCTGTAAAATTTGCTTCTACTTACATGCAAAACTAGCATTATTTGTCAGAAGAGATTATGGAAGAAATAATTAATTTTGAGAAAAAACTATTAGTGTGAACAAAATAATGCTACTTAAAAAGCAATTGCTTCATAATTAGAATCATTCTGCACAAATCTAATTCACATTTGTTGTTTTTATTACATGTATACACAAAATTATCTTTGAAATGGACCACTTATCATCTCTTCCAACATTAAGCCAACCAGCAGACTTGAGCCTAATGTGAGAATTCAAACCAAATTCACCTCTCACCAGCTGTGTGACCTGGGGCAGGTTACATAACCCCTCAGTTTTTCTCATCTGTAGAATGGATACGTTAATGAGAGTAATTACATCATAGCATTGCTGTGAGGGTTAAAATGAATCAATATAAAGAAATATTAGGAAGAATGCCTAGCACAGAGTGACATTATATATGTTTTTACTACTATTGTTATTCCCAGTCCATAGGAGGCACTCAGTAAATATCTGTTAAATTAAATGCCTCTGCCAAATAAAACAACACAAAGCAGCCTCGATAAGATAATGTGATACAAATTATTCTCACATTTATTAAATACATAATTTCTAAGACAGAAATTCAGAAACTCTGTTCCAGAAACTGGTATTTACAAGGCCAGGAACCGTTTGTGCAGTGTTATCTGTAGGTCTCTGAGAACACCATATCCCTCCCACAAACTGTTCTAGGGCCCGAAGCCCAACCAATACTCCCTTGGCTAAATCTTTGAAAGTCCTTTTAAAAGGCAATTTTTAAAAAGCAGAAGAGGTGGTGTTACATATTAAAACATAGCCATTTAGGGGCGGGCACAGTGGCTCACGCCTGTAATCCCAGCACTTTGGGAGGCCTAGGCGGGCGGATCAGGAGGTCAGGAAATCGAGACCATCCTGGCTAACACAGTGAAACCCCTTCTCTACTAAAAATACAAAAATTAGCTGGGCGTGGTGGTGCACACCTGTAGTCCCAGCTGCTTGGGAGGCTGAGGCAGGAGAATCACTTGTACCCGGGGCCGGGCGCGGTGGCTCATGCCTGTAATCCCAGCACTTTGGGAGGCCGAGGCGGGCAGATCACGAGGTCAGGAGATCAAGACCATCCTGGCTAACACGGTGAAACCCCGTTTCTACTATAAATGCAAAAAATTAGCCTGGCGTGGTGGCAGGCGCCTGTAATCCCAGCTACTCGGGAGGCTGAGGCAGGAGAATGGCGTGAACCCGGGAGGCAGAGCTTACAGTGAGCCGAGATCTTGCCACTGCACTCCAGCCTGGGCGACAGAGCAAGACTCCATCTCAAAAAAAAGAAAAAAAGTATCACTTGTACCCAGGAGGCGAAGGTTGCAGTGAGACGAGATCAGGCCACTGCACTCCAGCCTGGGTGGCAGAGCAAGACTCCGTCTCAAAAAAAAAAAAAAAAAAAAACACCTAGCCATTTAGAACAAGGTGAGGTATATTTGAATACCTACTGATACTTTAGTCGTACAGTTTATTAGATTAGTCAACTAGTTTTAGACACATTCTGTGGGATGATATCAGTGAAAGAACAAGCATACTAATGGGAGAGTTCTGGAAGGACTCTGTTATAAGGTGGGAGGAATAAATTGCCTGTTTAATTTTTTTCAGAGGCTAGTACACCTCTGTCATCTTAAAATGCCATCAATATTAGTTTAAACAAGAATTTTCAACCTCAGCATGTATGTGGTAGTGTGTCTAGCTTTTGAAGCCACTGACAAAAAGATCTGATAATGTTCCATGTTATGACACTTCCATTATCTCACAAAATACTTTCTTGCTTTAAAAAAAAGAAAAAAAAAGGGGTTCCAGACTTCAAAGCAAAAGCTTGTCTCCACCTAACACCGAAGGTTTCATTTATACTGTGTGCTGAGTACAAATTGCAGTGCAAAGTCAGTCTGGATCTGTCAGTGACACAATTAGGAAACCTGGCATAGGGTTACCAGGGCAGAGACTGCTGCTATGTAAATTTAACCTGCTACATTCAAAGGTGGAGGAGGAACTTAGAAACCACTGTTGTTCTGTAAGAAGCAAACGGCACCGATTTTTAGTACACACCTACTGAACTAATTCCAGAAAGTTCACAATCCCTCAGTATTACTTTGAGTTCCAGGATCTGGGTTAATATACTCAGGGCATGTGTTATAGCAGGGAATGAAGGTTGGAATATACGTAGTATCCCATCTGATACTTCCATGGATTACCATTACTTATATTTGGAGTGGTGGATCCATAATTAGCATTCTTCTCCTTCCTTCCCAAGATCAGATATGGTAGACACAGGAGTCGGATTGATGGAAACTAATGCGCCAGCTCTCTTACTGGAAGAAGCTAGCTCAGGGGACACATGGCAGGTGTGCTGACAGATGGCTTGCTGACACTCATGCGAATTTAACTTTCACACACACCCCCAACCCCAAGACATGGCAAGAAGCAAAGTCAACTCTATCAGTTATGGAAGAGAGCAGACCACAGTTAATTTTCACTGCAGGTAGACAGTTTCCACCTCCCTCTGCCCTCAAGAACAAAAAGGAAAAAAATAAGTCAAACACACCAGTTCTGTCTTTCACTAATGAATTAGAAAACTCATCTCTCTTCATTTTGCTCTAGCATGTGGTTTTCAGCTGGGGTGCAGACAGACTCCACAGGAGACTTGAAGAAATGCAAGGAGATGCTCCTGGCATTTAGTAGGTGTGTGCTAGAGTTGCCAAACATCCTGCAAAGCACACTACAGTCCCAGCCAATGAAGAACTCTATTGCCTAAAAGACAATAACACTCCTGTTGAGAGCACTTCTGGGGATCTTTCCACAGGAAAACATGAGGAAAAAGGAATGCATCACCCTAGCAGTATCGTAGGTGGGCATGTGTGTGTGCACGTGCAAGTCTGCACCTATGGGGACACAGCTAAGTGAATTATTGCTCTCTCTCTCTTTTTTTTTTTTTTTTTTTTTTTTTGAGATGGAGTCTTGCTCTTGTTGCCCAGGCTGGAGTGCAGTGGCGCGATCTCGGCTCACTGCAACCTCCACCACCTGGGTTCAAGCGATTCTCCTGCCTCAGCGTCCCAAGTAGCTGGGATTACAGGTGCCCGCCACCACGCCCAGTTAATTTTTCTATTTTTAGTAGAGATGGGGTTTCACCATGTTAGCCAGGCTGGTCTCGAACTCCTGACCTCAGGTGTTCCCCCCGCCTCGGCCTCCTAAAGTGATGGAATTACAGGTGTGAGCCACCGAGCCCAGCCAAATTATTACTCTCTTTTTTAAAAAATTAAGGTATAATTTATATTCAATAATAGTCACTGTTTTTAGTAAACAATTCTGAAACAATTCTGAGACTTTACTACCACCAAGATATAGAACAATTCTATCTCCTCCAAAATTCGTCCATGACTTTTGAAGAAAATTCCTCCTACCCCAAACCCCTAGCCACTATTGATCTGCTTTATGTCCTCATAATTGTGCCTTTCCCAGAAGATCGTATAAATGGAATCATACTTTTGCATCTGGCTTCTTTCACTCAGCACAGCACATTGGAGATTCATTCATGTTGTTGCACATATCAATAATTCATTTCTTTTTATTGCTGAGTAATACCCCATTGTGTGAAGGTACCCCAATTTCCTTATTCATTCCCTAGTTGAGAGGCCATTCATGTAAACTTCTAACCTTTAGAGATTTAGGTTGCAGATAAATATCTTTCAAGAAGCCATGTCCAAAACTGAACTTGCTGAATCTCTCTCCATATTCTCTCTCAACACCTTTGGGAAACCATTTTGATTCAGGTGATGTAACTCAGTGAACCCGGGTTTCTTGTACGTGCTACCATTCTATCATTTACTACACTGTGATTGCCAATTTCTCCCAACAGGCTTGAATTCACTGAGGTAGGTGTAGTGTCTCATTTAATATTTTTTATCCAAGGCACAAGTACAAGGCTTGGAGCATATAGGGTGTTAATATTTATTGAATAAATCCTTGAGCAAATCAATGGCAAGTGAATGAAAGCACTCTTATATGTGTCTTATTTATGTATTTTTGAGCCAACAATATGTGCATCTGTGCAGGAGTCTACACTTGACTGTTGGTATCTAAGAGGAACTCAAAGTTCCCCTCTGCTTTTCTCTCTACACCCTACACATGCACACACACACACACACACTCACACACACACACTCACACACACTCACACCCAAGTAGAAATGTAGGCTCCTAAGTACGTGATTGTTTCTTTTGCAGCCACCTTATCCTCTAAGATTTATCAAGAAAAGATTTAAACAGAGACCAAGCCAGGTAGGCGTGGGTGCCTTATAATAACGTCATTATAGGCAAGAAATGTTGGCACAACCAGGGAACTCCATCCCGGGCTTGATGGCCCTTAATTAAATAAGTCAAGCTGTCTCCTCTGCTCCTCCCCTCTAAGCCCAAGTCCAAATCTCAGCTCTCTGAATCACAGTACTGAGATGGCAGGAAAAGATGGAAAAGCTAGCAAGAACATGCGGGTATGCCTCAAGCAGGGGCCAGGTCCCATCCAGAAACAGCCTCTGGGAGGCTCTTGCCTACCCTACAGCTCTGGAGAGAGAGTGGAAAAAGTCAAAGGGACACCCAAAATGTTTATTTACCTCTGTCTTCACCACATGAAAACTGGACCCCTGAGAATTGTGGCCAGAAAACAGATCCTTGCACTTAACCCTGATAAAGGACTGAGAAGGAGACAGAGAGAAAGAAGCAAAAGGGAATCTTGAGTGCCATTTAGGGGTCAACAATCTAGTCTAACAATCTCATTTTGTAGATGAGAACAGCCTATGGTCAGAAAACTTCTTTAGAAATCAGAAAAGCTAAATTCTTGATCTCCTTCCATTGCTAATTATTAGTAATGAGACGATCTTGAGCAAGTCATTTAACCTTCCTGAACTTCATTGAGGAAAAGTCCCATATTCCATGCTTACCCCATCGATGCGTTATCAATGAAACAATATATTAAAAGTACTTTGAAATACGTATAATATTATCATGTTTAGAGTACTACTATAAACAACTCAATTGGGAGAGCACTTAGAAATATCATAGATTCAAGGATAGACTATGCCTGGGACTGAAATCAGAAAACCTTGATTAAGCCTTGCCTTAGTTCTGTTACCAGCTGGTTCTGTGATAACCAAAAGGAATCTTTCTCAGCCACTTATTTTTTTTCCAGGCATTATATAGGAACACACAAATTTCATATAAAACAGTGTAGAAAAATAAGTATTAGCTACATTTTATAGGATAAGAAAATAAAACTTACAGTGGGTAAAAACTTTGCCCAGGAAACAAATTATAAATGTCAGCTTTGGGATTCAAATCTTGGTCCACTTGATATTAAGCTTGTATTCTTCCCATTACCAACATTTCTAGCTGCAGTTATTTTATCTGAAAAGTAAAAATGAGAGAAGATTTGAAAATCTACATTATCCTGTACAGGTCAGAAATATTCTAACTTTTAATGATTCTAATTTTAAATTTTATATTTCTCTCTTATATCTTCTTAATTACAGAAATTTTTTATTTTGCCCTTCTACTCATCATCTCAGTTCCTGATTTTATAACCATGTGTTACAGAAATTGTTCTAACTCAGTAAAGTGAGATATAAGTAGTTTAAGCTACTGCCTTCATCTTTGCTCACCTAACACTTTAAAATATTTTGAAATTTAATGTAGTTTGTTTGGTTTATATCTAAAATTTTTCAAATGAGTTTAGGTAAATAACATAAACATATTATTAAATCTGTAAGACATGAAAGTAACATTTTATTGCAAATGTATCTCCTAAAGAAACTCGTGAGCATTTTTTTAAGTTAGTTCATGTCTCACTGAATGAATATGACCAATAACTAGAATGAGGCAATACATTAACTGTAAAGAAAAAAAAAGAATAAAAAAAGTCCAATTTTCTCTCTAAGAGATATATTTGCAATAAAATTTTACTTTCCTGTTAAATACCGATTTATAGATTTTAGAATGTATTTGTGTTGTTTACTTAAACTTCTTTTTAAATTTTTTAATGTCAACCAAAAAGAACTACAAGAGCTCATAATAAGTAGGTGGCAATAGAGGGGATTTTGAAAACAATGTCACTTACTTTGTAAATTTCTTCTGAATGTTATACCAAAATTGTGATATATTATCAGGAATGATTTTAATAGTATGTCAATTAATAACTCAAATATTTTGTTTTTAATCATGTTGAAAGCAAATTTTGAAACCACCTGACCTGCAAAAGAATATGTTGCCCAGAATTTACTTTCTCAATATCTGAGAAGTATCCTAGAAAAGCTTTACCAAGACTTAGCAAGTGGTTCTTCTTTATAATGGTAGCTCTTTCACCTGGGGACACCTTTTTTTAAAGCGAGTGTGCAGAAAGGAGTTGACATAGAACTTTAAAAAAAGCTATCCTTGGCCAGGCGCAGCGGCTCATGCCTATAATCCCAACACTTTGGGAGGCGAAGGCAGGTGGATCACCTGAGGTCAGGAGTTCGAGACCAGCCTGGCCAACATGATGAAACCCCGTCTCTACTAAAAATACAAAAATTAGCAGGGCATGGTGGCGTGCACCTGTAATTTCAGCTACCCAGGAGCCTGAGGCAGGAGAATCGCTGGAACCTGGGAGGCAGAGACTGCAGAGATCGCAACACTGCACTCCAGCCTGGGTGACAGAGCAAGACTCTGTCCCAAAAAAAAAAAAAAAAAAAAAAAGCTATCCCTTTGAAAGGTCTGCCTGCAAAATTTGCTCATGACTGGCACCTAGGAACTTAGATTTTGGGGGGATTCCCACCACCATTAGAAGATAATAATGGCTTATGATTTCTAAACTGTTTATGCAAACAGCATGGCTTAGGCTGAACACCTGCTTTCCTTCTGGTAGTCTGGGATTTGCGTACATGACAGGCCGCAGGTACCTATGTGACCAGTCCCCAGTAAAAACCCTGGGCAGTGAGTCTCAAAGAAGCTTTTTGTGGCTAACAACAATTCCGAAGAGCTAGTGTCAGTTGTTGCTGGGGGAATTAAGTGTGCCCTGTCTGACTCCACTTTGGAAGCTGTGCCTGGTTTTCTCAGGACTTCGCCTCATGCACCTTTTCCCTTTGCTGTTTGTGCTTGTACTTTCATTGTAAAATATTAAAGCGCTGAGTACAACTATATGCTGAGTCCTATGAGTCATCCTACTAAATCATCAGATCTGAAGGTAGTCCTGAGTACCCCCAACATACATAGTATAGTCAGAAAAAGTTGGAAAAAATTAAAATATAGTTATTTCAGCACCCTTTTCCAATGCAATATTTTTATAACTTTTTAATCTTAATTTTTATAAAATATGCTTTCATATTTTGAAGCCTTGAACTTGCATACTTTGGTTACTTCATTTATGGAAAATTTTCACATTATAGCCTAAATGACAAAAACATTCTTATTGCCAAACAATTAGCCAAAGCTGACTAAAGAATAAATCATCTTGCAATATTAATTACTAAAGGTTATCTCATCAAAATTAAACCAAATGAGATCCAATATATTTATTTTATCCAAATGTATAATTTTAGAAAATAAGTAGAAAAACATACAGTTTTTCTTTACTTTGTAATGAGATAAAATATAAAATTAATACGTGAAATATAGCTAAAATTAAAGGTATTAATAAAATGGAAAATACAAGTTATGGTATTCTTTGAAAAATGTTTATATGGAGAGATTGACGTCCTGGATTCAATTTTGTAGAATAATTGAATAAGAATCAACTATCAAGTAAGAAATAACTTAATTAACTTTATACATCATGATCAACATTTTCTAATGTACCAATGAAAGAGAAAAGAATATAATGTTAAAATGAATCCATCCATGAGCTAGCATATAATTTTAGACTTTGTCTATAGGTGGAAAAAAAATACTAAATATATAATAAAATGAAATAAGATGAGGCTGCAATTGGAATAAATATTTCATAGTATGGCTTATTTTGAACTTGAAAGAAATCATAATAAAGTTTTATCTTGGACTTTTAGCCAATGTATCATGAAAAATTTAATACTCCTTGAAAATATTCCAGTTAGAGTTAAAAAGTCAATATGAAAAATCTATTTTGCTTTGACTTTTTAAATGTACTTTTAAAAACTTTCCAAGGGTGAATTTTAAGAATAGTGAAAAAGAATTGTTTATTATTACATACATGAGAAAAACATTTTTATTGCTCAGTATAGCTTACTGATATTTACTTCGCTGTGTTTTACTCTCCTTCAAGAGTATTGCATTTTTTACAATAGGACAAAAGAGGAATGAAATGAAATAAAACAAAATCCTTGAATAAATGTGGCCATTAATCCCACAGTTCTATTCTACCAAATACCTGAATGCAGAAGATCCCATACAAATCAAAATACCCTGTTGTCTGATGCCATGCTGTATGCTTAAGAGAATACGTATGAAGAAAGAACAATAAAAATCTCTAATGGTTTCTTGTGCATTGATCAGTTGTCAAAAGTTAAAGGGGTCATCCCTTTTCTCTTGTCTGCAAAGAGTACCGAGGATGCCTAAAACACCATGATAAAATTTGGGGTATGGTAGGGTGCCTTTCTTTGATAAAATGGAAGGATTATCACTAAAAGTGTCACAGACTAATTTTAGAAAAGAGTTCATATGAAGGTGGAGAATCTGAAAAATATTCCTTAAAACATCTAGGCTCCCTTACCCCTTAGAAAGTTTTCTTACACTCCCAGGATTAACATGTCAATCCCAGTTTGAAGATCACTAGTGACAAAAATTTTTCCTGAATATCCCTAAGCTTTCTTTCTGACTCAATTCCCAGGTCCAGTTGCAAGTGGAAACATATTATGAATAATATAGGATAAACTTGGAAATGAAGGCTTTTTCCTACCTCACTTGCTAGGCTTTCTTTCTAATGATGCTTTCTGTGGTTCTTCTTTGTAGGATTCCATATCACCCCAGCTCCAATTTGCCAGGCGTTTTTACTGCGTCTTGTCAGTCTAGGTAGCAGCTCTATTAATCCACTGATGACAGTAATGTGATTTTCCTTGTTCAAGAGGTAACAGCATTATTAGATATAGGATCTTCAACAGCAAAAATATACACCCCCAACATTAGTGCAGTAATTTGTATTTCTAAATCTTATTATAAATAGCATTATAAAATTCACATAAATATATGCAGGTGCAACTTGGAAAAAAGTGAGATTTTGTGTTTATTGTGTTGAAACTTAGATTCTTTCATAGAAGAACTCACGGGACTTAGATAAAAGAAAAAAAGTTGAGAGCTACTAGTTTAGGAAATAGAAAGCCAGTTTGGCAATAACCAGCCATTCTACTTTCTTCCCCTTCCTATATTCTCTGGCCAGTGCTTGGTAAATTTTAAATCATGATTTTCTGTAATTTAATCAATAATTATTCCAGGCTAGAAATGAAGTGTATTATTATTAATATATTTATAATAATGTGCAATAATAAGGCTAGACAATCATCTGGCATCCAGAATTAGCATAATCCATCTCTAAAGTGGTTGATGCAGTGAAATAAATGAAGTAACCTAAGTGAGTTTACACAGAGATGTACTTACGTATCTAGAAATAAAACCCCAAACCAATTTTGGTTCAGTCATTTGTCATCCCACCAAACCACAATTCCTTCTTCTATATTGTTTAGGCTCTTTGAACCACCAGTCCTTCAAAATGATGTATTTGAAATAGATTTCAGAAATTGACTTTCACTTTGTTCCTCATATGTGATATTTTGAGCATGACTAGTAATGGCAGAGAATGAAAAGAAAAGAAAATGAAAGAAAAGAATAGAAACGAGAAAGAGAAAAGAAAAAAACTATTATTGTGAAAAATCTGGACACACAAGACTATCATGTTAGATAGATTATTACATATAAAAATAGCCCTACTAAATGAAAGAAATAGACTCATTATTGCTTACAACATCCTAATATTACATTACCATATTTCTTTTTTTTTTTTTTTTTTTTTGAGATGGAGTTTCACTCTTGTTGCCCAGGCTGGAGTACAATGGCACGAACTCGGCTCACCGCAACCTCCGCCTCCTGGGTTCAAGTGATTCTCCTGCCTCAACCTCCCAAGTAGCTGGGATTACAGGCATGCGCCATCATACCCAGTGAATTTTGTATTTTTAGTAGAGACGGGGTTTCTCCATGTTGGTCAGGCTGGTCTCGAACTCCCGACCTCAAGTGTTTCGCCTGCCTCAGCCTCCCAAAGTGCTAGGATTATGAGCGTGAGCCACCGCACCTGGCCACATGATCATATTTCTTTTAAGAAGCCTTGCTATACTAACAAGTTTATCCACATAAAACAACAAAGCACCACTGACAAAACTGATAATGTTTTAATAAATCTCTGATAGATTACTAAAAAGGTCTAGAAAACAACTATTTAGTTAATATTTATAATTTCATCAAATGCAGCCTATATAAAGGAAATATTATGTGTTTCTGTGCATCACCATAATTCAAATGTAAAGCAAATGAAACTGGGAAAAACTATGCATTCTACTGGAATTTTATTTCACTTCTTTTGCTTTATGGAGCACACCCTTATCTGGCTTTTTAGAAACCAATTCTTTATCCAGGATGGCAGTTTCAGGAAATGATGTATAAAGTTTCTGCATATCTGTTGCTTAAAATTCCAACTGGACAATTTTACAGTTTCTAAAGGATAATTCAGACCAATCTTATGCACAATACTGTGCACTTTTTTCAAAAGAACTGATATTTATGTGCTTTGCCAATTTCTCAGAAACCACAACTATCTGAATCTCTATGAAATAAATAGGAAGAATTTATGAAACCATCTACATTTTATCTATAAGGTCAAATGAAAATATTTTTCATGGAAACCCTGGGATATATGGAAAAGTTGGGAACTGTGTAGGAAGAAAAGTTAGTCAATTTACTTGAACTTCTTTTTCTTGCAAATATCCAATGGAGTCAACACACAGT